>NC_000001.11:230123515-230275030 GCF_000001405.40 Homo sapiens | reverse complement strand
GGCGTGTATATATGTATATATGTGGCATGTATATATGTATATATGTAGCATGTATATATATGTGGTGTGTATATATGTGTGTATATATATGCTCACATATATACACACATAGACACACACACTTGCATTATGTATCGAGTACCATCCATGTGAACATTAATCATTTAGAATTTTTGTAAATTGAAATAGAAAAAAGTATTTGATGAATAAACAAAAGTAGATAATTTCTCTTTAAATTTTCAGCGGCATAGGGAAGAGAATGAGAATATAATCAGAAATAAGCAACATTAGGTTTGTGGCTTAAGTCTAATAGGGCAGCTAGACATTATTCACAGTGATGCAAAAGAACACATAAGTACACGCAGAGATGGATGCTTTGAGAGGCAGCACAGAGCAAGAGGGCGCAGGCCGTGGCTACCCTGGTCTGGGTTAATCACGGGCACCCACGGGTGCCTGCAAGCCGTACCTGTCTGCTGTCATTTTCTCGGCAGCCCTGCAGCTTTATAAGAGAGCCCGGTGCCCGGTCCACCACAGTAAGGCACAAATCCATGTGCTTCACCGACTTCTCCTTCGTCAAGGCCCATTCCTGGAACACAAAACCAGAAGTCAGAGGCGTGCTATGCACCGGGCTGTGAAAGGAAAGAAGGGGCATCGATGAGGGCTCAAAAAGGAAATGGGTCACGGGGTGGAGCTTAGATTCAGAACCCCTGAGCCAACTGAGAACGAAACAATTACTTTTTGCCTAAGGGCAAATTTATAACATCAGAGATGTGGGAGAACCTCACAACTGAGCAGTAAGTTGGCTGAGTGATGTGCAGAAGTGCTTTGAGGACCTCAGTAACTAAAATAAAACTATTAACTATTTTAGCCCCAAATACAAGTTAGACTGCCTTGTTCATTTTTCTATAATTCAATGTGAGCTGTAAAAACTGTGGCACAAGCTTGGTTATACACCAGGTAGACAGTTGGCAACTGGTCCACCCATGCTATTTTGGAATGACTCTGCCCTCATGCAGGTATGGCCTGCAAACAGCATTGATGAATGTGAACTGTAGTAAATAACACATTGCATATGTAAGCAAAATATATCGTGTATAGCCTCCTAAGTGAATGCTAATTGATCTATGGGTGCTCATGAAGCCCTCTGAAAACTGGAGGAATAGATCTATGAATTTCTTTGAATACATTACAGCTAAATTTAATGGGGTGCTATGTGCCAAGCATTATTTTAAGCCCTTTATACAACAGCTCCATGAGGGCTATTATTATTCTCATTTTATAGATGAGAAAACTGAGCTAGAGAGTGTTTAAATAACACACCATGATGTTAACAAACAAACACACACATATATGTACAAACACACACAAGTTAAAGGCTGTGACAGGGTGAGAGGACAACCATTTTGGATACTAAATGAGACATGGTCCCAGGTGGCAGAGGAGGCCGGAGCCTGTTCCAGGCAGGGCCACAGCAGGGACTGGAAGGTGAGGCTTCTGACCATCACTCTCCATTTGTCCCACTCAAAGGGATGAACACCCCTTAATATCGAGGGGCAGCAAGGCCCTTTCCAGTTTAAAACCCCACAGGGACTCACTATCCACTTCCATCCCCTTCCTCTCTAAGCCCCAGCACGCTGCAGTGGCCCTCCCCTCCGTCTGTCTGTCTGTCTTTCTATCGGTCTGTCCCATGACCACCTGCTGCACACCTGTATGACACCGGCGCTGTCACAGAGCCAGGCTCCCTTTCTAGTGGGGAACATGAAAGACACACAAATAAATGTATTCTGCAACTTCAGGCACTATTATGTGCTATGAAGACACTGTTTTTTTCTTGGTTCTTGGAAACAGAGGTAAGGAAAGGAACAAATAGTGTTTAAAGAAGCCTCACTGTCTAGTATCTGTATCATGTTGGAACAAATAGTCCGTCATTAGAAAAACATTAAAAGGTGAAGATGCAGCCCGGTGTGGTGGCTCAGGCCTATCTATAATCCCAGCACTTTGGGGGCCAAGGCGGGAGAACTGCTTAATGCCAGGAGTTCAAGATCAGCCTAGGCAACATAGCGAGACCTTGTTTGTACTAAAAATAAAAAATAAGTTGACCGGGTGTGGCAGTGCATGCCTGTGGTCCCAGCTACTTGGGAGGCTGAGGTGGAAGGATTGCTTCAACCTGGGAGGCCGAGGCTGCAGTGAACTGTGATTGTGCCACTGCATTCTAGCCTGGGTGACAGACCGAGACCCTGTCTCCAAACCGAACTGAACCGAACCGAACCAAACCAAACCAAACCAAACCCTAAAGATTCTAGCATTCAGACCTTATACAACCACTGGCGGGATGCACCATCTCCAGCTCTCAGCATCAGCAGAGGGGATGCAGAGGCACGGACACCCGTCTAGGAATCAGTGAAGACACCTTCACCTGTCTGAAGACTTCCTCCTCCCCTAACAGGGAGGGAGGCTTGGGCAAGCCTGCTCACTTCCCGGGTCTTCCATTTTCTCACCTTTTAATTAGTGTTCCTCACATTCTACTCTGTGAGGAATCCTAGGAAAGACGGATTCTAGGTCAAATGAATTTGGGAAACAGACTTTGTGCTGTGTTTATCTCTCGGAAATTCAGTCTATTAAAGGCTCTGAAGAGTCCTAGAGTAGAAGCACCTGCTTGGCCTGTGCACTGTAGCATTCCAAACACGGCATGGAGGCAGCCCTGACCCACCCAGCCCTGCCGGCCACCTTCTCTGGGGAAGGCCACCCGACCCTGAGTCGAATCCCAACATTCTATGATGCTGTCATTCAACATGGGTGAGTTCCAGCCAGCTCTTCCAAGCACCCACAGGCACTCACGTCACCCATACTCTAGGACAGTGTGACATCATAAAAATAATTATTTGGTCTCTGGCACAATCACAAGGCTCCTAAAACCCTTGTCATTTCCTGAGCCACAGGGGTTTTAGGAGCATCTTTCATTCTAGTGTTTGGTCTTTGACCCCGGTTCCCAACAAACAGCTCCTACTCCCTTGGAATTTATTGGGTGATGGGAGTGTCTTGTTCTAATGAAGCAACTCTAATGGGCTCCTGGACGGGGCTGGTCACCAGAAAGACCAGGTTATGCTGAGAAGCTTGAAACCGTCAGTCCCCCGCCACCCCATCCTCTGGGAAGGGAAGAGGAGCTGGAGATCAT
Source organism: Homo sapiens (assembly GCF_000001405.40). Classification (NCBI taxonomy): domain Eukaryota; kingdom Metazoa; phylum Chordata; class Mammalia; order Primates; family Hominidae; genus Homo; species Homo sapiens. The sequence continues at coordinate 230,271,855 of NC_000001.11, read as the reverse complement.
GCCCATGTGATGAGGCCTCCGTCAAAGTCCTTGCACTCCGGGATGTGGCTGCCGGACATGCGGAGGCGCTGGGAGAGCGGCACACCTGGAGAGGGCGTGGAAGCTCCAACACCCCACCTCCACACCGCGTGCTATGCATCTCTCCCGTCCAGCTGCTCCTGGGTTTCAGTCTTTCCTAATGAACAGGTAAGCCACGAAGTAAACCGTTTTCCTGAGTTCTATGAACTATTCTTGCAAATGAATGAATTCAAGGCGAGGTCGCGGGAGCCCTGATTTACAGTCAGACAGCAGGTGACAACTTGGACTTGTGACTGGCATCTGGAGTAGAAGCATCTTGTGGGAGGAAGCCCATAACCCGTGGGGTCTGTGCTAACTCTGGGTAGGCAGTGTCAGAACTGAGTTGACAGGCATGACACTCAGTGTCCGCAGAGAATTGGAGAATTGGAGAATTGCTTGGTGTGGGGGGAAAAGCCCACAGGGCTGGTGTCAGAGGTGAGAAGTTTTGTGAGAGTATAAAGGAGGAAAAGCAGCTTTTTTCCTATTCACTGGGTCACAGAGTATGGAAGGTGTGGAGTGTAGAGAGGAAGCCGTGTGTGTTTCCCATAGGCAGATGGCGTTCAGGATGGAGAGGGCCAGGAAGAAGCACATTGTTCCGTCCCTGCACTCACAGGGGCTGGGGACACCACCAGGATGTGTGAAACTGTGGTACACAGAGACGCCCACTCACAGTGAAGAGGAGAGTCCTGAGTAAGAGGGACAACGCTGGTATGGAGAAGGGTTCCAGACTGTCCCTGGCAGCAGGTGTTGGCGGATGCTGGATGGTCTGCTGACACCCAGTTAAAGATCATGTCTGAATGTTTTTACAACCTCCTTGCTATTGTGTGCTTAATTACTGTAAAGCAGACTTTACACAGGATTCCAGAAAAACTAATTCAGCTGGGCAAACAACAGAGCTAGTTGCCGTTTTGTTCTTCTGTTGCATTTCAATTATCTGAATTTGTAAAATAAAGTTCATAAATATTTAAGAAATGCTTTTTTGAGCTGCCACTCTTAAAAGGCATGGCCATTAATTTTCTCATTTCCTGTGTGTCTGCCAAGGCTCAGCCGGAAACCAGATAACAAACCTCACTCTTCCAAAGCACCAGGCCCTATTTTCAGTTGGGAAATATTACTTACCCTCTCGTTTCTCATCCGTGTCACACGCTATGCAAAAAAGCATCACTTTCTATCGGTTCAGAGAGGACTCACGCACAGTGGGTTTGTGAGCTGGAATATCTGAGCCGTACTGTCTAATGTGCTAGCTACAGGGCACCCAGGGCCATTTGCATTTAAATTCACCAGAATGAAATGAAATTAAACTTGTAATTCACACTAGTCATATTTCAAGTGCCCAGTTGCCACAATGTGGCTGATATACTGAATGGCAGATGTAGAGCATCCCCATCATAGCACATGGTTCTATTGGAAAGTACTGATAGTAGCCCACTGGCCCCAGACTGGCCCAGGCAGTAAGGTGCTCCCAAGCTGAGGGTGTAACATACATCATGTCATCCTGCCATCTCACATCACATTGTATGTGCTGATGTGTTCATCTTTCCACTAGAAAACGCTTGCTCCTCAACTCCTATTTTTTAAAAATTTTTATTTATTTTTTTGAGACAGAATCTCACACTGTCACCCAGGCTGGAGTATAGTGGTGCGATCTCGGCTCACTGCAACCTCCACCTCCCGGGTTCAAGTGATTCTTCTGCCTCAGCTCCCCGAGTAGCTGGGATTACAGGTGCCCACTACCATGCCCAGCTAATCTTTTGTATTTTTAGTAGAGACGGGGTTTCACCATGTTGGCCAGGCTGGTCTCGAACTCCAGACCTCGTGATTCACCCACCTCAGCCTCCCAAAGTGCTGGGATTACAGGCGTGAGCCACCGTGCCCGGCCCTAATTTATTTTACATTATTTTAGGAACATGGTCTCACTCTGTTGTTCAGGCTGGAGTGTAGTGGTGCAATCACAGCTCACTACAGCCTCGACCTCTTGGGCTTTAGCAATCCTCCCATCTCAGCCTCCTGAGTAGCTTGGACTACAGGCACAGGTCATCACAACTGGCTAATCTTTTTTTTTTTTTTGTAAAGACGGAGCTTCCCTATGTTGTCCAGCCTGGTCTTGAACTCCTGGCCTCAAGCAATCCTCCTGCCTTGGCTTCCTAAAGTGCTGAAATTACAGGTGTGTACCACTACAGCAGGCCAAATCCTCATTTAGAATCACTTGTTAGCTCTTAGAGATCTGGTGGTGCCCTCTGACCCTAGACAAATTAGATCAGGCTCTCTGGGCATAGCACCTGGCATCAGCATTTTGTAAAAGTTCTCTGGGCAGGCTGGTTGTGGTGGCTCACGCCTGTAACCCCAGCACTTTGGGAGGCTGAGGCATGTGGATCACTTGAGGTCACGAGTTCGAGACCAGCCTGGCCAACATAGTGGAATCCCGTCTCTACTAAACATACAAAAATTAGCCGGGTGTGGTGGCACGTGCCTGTAATCCCTGCTACTTGAGAGGCTGAGGCAGGAGAATGGCTTGAACCTGGGAGGCGGAGGTGGCAGTGAGCCGAGATTGCACCACTGCACTCCAGCCTGGGCAACACAGCCAAACTCCGTCTCAAAAAAAAAAAAAAAGCCTGGGCAACACAGCCAAACTCCGTCTCAAAAAAAAAAAAAGAAAAAAAAAATTTCTCTGAGCAATCCCAGGATGTGGCCATTGGAGGGGGACAGAGAGTGAGCAGGGAGTCAGCACTTACTGCTGGAAAGGAAGGGAAAGCCCACATGTGAGAACAGTAATGGCTGCACAACAGCAAGAAGGAAAAGCAAAAGCAGAGTGGGAGACACACCCTGCAGACCCGATCTTGTTCACTCCTTGGCACAGCCCTTTGCTGACCCCTGAAGTTGGTGCAGAGGCAAGGAATGGGCGCTCTGTGTCAAAGGTCTGTGCTGTGGCTGCCCTCAGCACTGTGCAGAGAGGAATCCTGGAGACTCTCTACTGGGCAGGACCGGGGGGTGAGGGCCACAGCCCTGAAGGCGGGACACAGGCTGTCCTCCTGAGGGCAGGTGAGGAGGGTCACAGGCAGCAGCTACACAGACAAAGTCTTTGGTTCCCGTAGACCTGCCACCTCCACAGGGCCCAGACTCTGTCTCGTGTTACTAGCTGTGCGGTAATTAAGGTGCAATGCTGGCGGGGGGTGAGCCAGTCACAGAGCCTGACGCACAGGGGATGAAGCTGGGGCCCGAGACTCTGATGACGAACTCTCTCGGCCGGGGCCTGAGCACACGCTTCTGTTTAATGTGCTGTAGCGTAAGGTGTGTCGCTTTCCAGCAGAGGCGCTGACACAGAAAGGAGTGACCTCTCCAACCTTCCATAAATCATCAGAACACTGCAGAGTGACAGTGGGAACTCCAGAGATTAAACACGGAGGTGAGGCTGGCCAGGGATCACAAGAGGCCCAACACCCAGACAGTACGGAACCTGGGTGGGCACCTCGTCCGTTTTGTCATCCACAGACCAGAGGTAAGCTTCACCCAACCCTACACGAATTATCCACATGTCTGCATTTGGTGAAATCTGCATTAATGCTGTGTGATCGACCAAGCCTTGCAGCACCGTCTGTCCGGTTTAGATGAAACCCAGCTTGCTGAGAATGAGACCCATCATTTCCCCCTCCCTCACAGAGCTCCACTTTTCTGAGGGCATTTCGGTGGATTTTCACTATGGTTCTAGATGGAAACACATAAAACATCTCTCCCCAAGCTCACTGCTTTCCAGATCTCAAGAACAAAGCCCAAACCATGGAAATAAACACGCTGTTATCAGTGTAGAAGGAACACAGCCAGCGGAGACGCCTCCTCCAGTCACACCTGGACCACAGCGGGACCCACAGCAGCACCGCACGGCGCCCTCCATCACCTCTGAGTGAGTCCCCTGGGCCCCCCGCTTCCCAGCAGTGACTGAGAACACAGTTAACAGCAGGGTCTTGGATGGAGGAGCTACAAGGACACAGAAGCATGGACACGGTGGGGATGGCACCTTCCCCTCCGCCTCTGCCCACCCCACCAATACCAGCTGGCTCCTCCTCCTTTCACCCGCTTCGTCTTCCACTCTGTTTGTTCTTCCCTCCCCCTGTATGGGTTCCTCCCTCCAGGTGACTCCTGACACGGGTGGGGCCTGTGACGAGTACCCAGGGGGGCTGACCTGCTACAGTGTGAAATACCTAAAACTGGTCCCTCAGGCTATAGCTGAAGGCTGGCTTGTGTGTGCACCCACACCTGAAGCCTGCTCCCTGGGGAGTGTCCTCACAGCCCAGAGGCTACACACAGACGCCAGGCCCTGGGAGCCTGGGAATGGCATGCAGTCCTGCCACACAGCAGAGGGAAGCCCAGTGATTAAACATGGAGGTGAGGGCAGCCGGAATAACAGGAGGCGCAGCCACCTGGACAGCACAGAGGTGAGCAGGTGCCTCCTCTGTTTCATAACCCACAGTGGCTCCTCTGCTCAACTGTGAGTTCTGGAAGGCAAGGGATTGCTTTGTTTGCCTTCTAATCCCTTTCTCTAGCAAAATAGTACTGCCAAGTAAAAAACCCTCCAACAATATTTATCAAAAGGACAGAGATCAATGATATGAAGTCATGTACACGAAACAGAGAGCAAAACAAGCTCTGCATCTGAGTAACAGAAAAAGAAGAAAGAAGCAGCACATGAGTCTAGGTGCATGTGCACAAGGAAGAGAGGGGGACTGAGCCCGGGAATCAGGAGAAGAGAGCTGTTGTGTGAGAACGTGATGAGCATATGTGCTATTGTGTGTGTGTGTGTGTGTGTGTGTGTGTCACACACGTGCACAGGCACTGGAAGCACACTCATATCTGTCGGCAAACCTGACCCATTGGCTCTTACCCAAACATAGCATCACATTTAGCTATTCTGAACCATCGAGACTGTTGACGCTGATACGGAGAATCCAGGATCAACTCTACCAAAACCACACGAGAAAATGAGGCTCTCTCTCATTTTCTAACTCATCAACGCCAAGTATCTTCTATTTAAGGGCTGGAGATTTAGGGGAACCAGGGCCAGGCCCTGGCTACCTGCCCCATGCCCATGCTGGATGGGGACTGGCCCAGTCAAGCCCCAGGCAGGCAGGTTCCTCTCTCTCTTCTAATTTAGGATGTCCAGGCCATTGCAAGTAACTGCTAAAACCACATCACCAAGTGAAGAAAGGAGTCAAGGTATTTGTGGATTGCAGTCTGCCTGGACACTCACTTGGGAGGAGGACCCAGCTTTACACAAAAGCACATGCCCCCTTTCAAAAATACTTCCAGTTAAAGAAAGTTAAGAAATCAATACATTCAGGATACACACACGGAGTTAACCTGCCTTTTTTAAAACTGCAGGCTCTCCCAGTGCCAGGCAAGTTTTCAGGAAGGGGGTAAGAGCACACAGGATTACCCTTTGGTGCATGAAGCTCACATTTCACCCAATTCCTATTATTATCTCATGGGAAAACTGTTTTTAGAATCCGAAGTCTCAGCTGGGCCCATCAAGCCTTCATTTTGTCTCTCCTTTGCAATGATGGGAGAAGAGAAGGTAGTGGGTTTTTCTGTTTGTTTGTTTGTTTGTTTTTTGAGACAGAGCTTTGCTCTTGTAGCCTGGGCTGGAATGCAATGGTGTGATCTCAGCTCACAGCAACCTCTGCCTCCCGGGTTCAGGCAATTCTCCTGCCTCAGCCTCTCGGGTAGCTGGGATTACAGGTGCCCGCCACCACGCTTGGCTAATTTTTTTTTTATTTTTAGCAGAGATGGGTTTCACCATGTCGGCCAGGCTGGTCTTGAACTCCTGACCTTAGGTGATCCACCCACCACAGCCTCCCAAAGTGTTGGGATTACAGGCGTGCGCCACGGCGCCTGGCGGTTGTGCATTTTTATGCCTCTCAGAAAAGGTGTGTATGTGTGCAATGGAAGCAATTAATACTGAGTATCTTCTATCTTAAGCTATTATCTAACAGGCAGGGGCTATAACTAGCAGCCGCCTTAGTGCCCACAGTTAAGAATCTGTTGTATAGGCATACCAGGCAGGAGGTGTAGACATCATATTCTGGGGCCAGACGCAGAGGCAGAATGGGTGCTTTGCGGTTGAGTGCACATGGCCGAGAGGACAGAGCTGGCAGGAAGACCAGGGCCCTGCAACCAGCAACTGTGACCAGTGCACCCTTGCCGCTGCAGCAGAGCCTGGTCCGAAGCTGATGACAGAGCTGATGCACCAAAGTGTGTGACATTCTATCTGGCCCTGGTGCTGGCTGCCAAAGAGGCTGTGGCCAGCAGGAGCCAGGTGCTTCCTCATAGACATCACCCATCCCAGGAGAAAGGTGGCAGCTGGGACTTCTAACATCAGGACCCCCCCAACTCCTGCTCTCTCTGGGCCTGCAGGTGACCTGGCTTCCCCATGCACATACCTGGTTTCCCCCAGCATTGTGACATTCATAAACTCCAACCACACCATCAGCAAAGTGTCCCAAAGTGTCGAGGCAGTTAGTTCCCTGCTGCAAGGCCCCAAAAGCTATATCCTGATGGTCTGGAACCCTGAAAAACAACGTGAGAATCACCTGCTTCACTGCACATGACCACCAGCTCCCGTCCACCAGCCCCTTTGCTCAGTGGCCTCATGACAGGTGACAGGAACGAGAGAAAGACCCAGTGACTAGGCATCGTGCCTCTTCCTACCACAGGTAGTGTGTGTCAGGGACACGGCATTTCTCCCAGGCTCTGGACTTCCAACACTTTAAGACTGTATGTTGCAGAAGTATTCTTTATATTCTATATCAGGTCATTTTTTTTTTTTTTTTTTTTTGGAAAGGAAGGAAAAGCTCCTGATACTCTTCAATGTTAGTCTTATTGGAAGTCATTTAGAAAATCAATGTGGTCAGATCCTGTTGCCTTGAACTTTCCAATACACTTAGGATCTGACCTTTATCCAGTAAAGACGGGAAAGGTGGGCAGACTTGTCAGGTGGTCTAATGTGAACAAAGCCACAGCCACGGGGAAGAACAACGTGCTTCAGAACCAGATCCAAACCTCAGCCCACCTCTGCCAGGTGCTGGCTTTCAGGCAAGACTCACTTTCTCTGAAGCTCGATTTGCCCTTTGGTAGGCTATGGGCTACCCAGATCTGCTGCAAGTGTTACATAGAACATTTCGTGTAAAGCACACGGCCCAGTGCCTGGCTCGTAGGAGGCACTCAGTAAACGGCGGTGATATTACAGACACAAAACACGAGGCTGATGTCTCCCTCACCCCCCACAGACAGGGGAAGCAGATTTGCCAGCCAGGATGGTGCTCAGTGCCTCAGATGTGGTCTTCAGTGGGTGCGGGGCCCAGTGTCACTACAAACCATGGGTGACCTCTGTGAGAAATGGCAGTCAACTGTGACTGAAAAAGCAAAGTGAGTGGCATGGTTGGGTTAAAATCCACTGAATTGAAGCCCCTCTTTGGCTGACGGAGAGTTGATGAGCAGCCGCCTTAGTGCCCACAGTCAAGAATCTGTTGTATAGGGACACCAGGCAGGAGGTGTAGACATCATATTCTGGGGCCAGACACAGAGGCAGAATGGGTTCTTTTGGGTTGAGTGCACATGGCCGAGAGGACAGAGCTGGCAGGAAGAAGACCAGGGCCCTGCAACCAGCAACTGTGACCAGTGCACCCTTGCCGCTGCAGGTGACCATCGCTGGTGACCATCTGGTGCTCTCAATCCCCAGCAAAAGCTGTCCTGCACGGCAGGGATCCGAGGGAGAAGGACGCTGTGTTCTCTCCTGTTCTCCTCCTAGGGGGCATGGGCCACCTGGCGCCTGGCATGTTACTTGAAAAGCAGAGGAAACGGTTCCAAAGAGCCAAGTGAGCGAACAGGAGCAACAGAGAGAGGCCGCATTACCTAACTGTCCAACAAATCTCCGTGACAAGGGCTCTGAAGGAGCTGTTAGCGGAAAGATAATGGTGGCAAGTCTTGCGTTCGCAGGCACTGTGCTGGAGATATGTGAGCCGCTGTAAAATGCTCTGGGAATATTTAGAATAAGGAATGTGCCGCATTAAGGCACGACCTGCCTGACAGTCCCTTTAAGAAGATGAAGTGCAGATGGCTCCTCCACCCCAGCGGATCTATAGGTCTTCTCACGAGGTTATCAGCAGGTCCCTCCAGATGGGGAGCTCGTATTCGCTTAAAACAAGAGGCTGGGTGTGGAAATAATGCTCAGAAAGGTGTTTCTGCCATGAATCCTCCGGAGGGACGTGGGGCAGCAGCATTATTACTTCCGTTTCACATGTGATTAACCTAGCTGGGAGGAGGGAGCCTCGTGGGGGCTGTTATCTGCTGGCCCACAGGAGCAGCAAGGGTGAGCGCAGCAGATCGGAGGCATGCAAAGGCGCCTGGCGGGGGGATCGAGGGCTGGCTGCAGACACTGCATGCTTGCGGAGGCTGGGGACTGCTCCTGGTCACTCGAAGAGCCTGTCAGACACCAGTCCTTCAGGTCACCCAGCCCATCACCTTGCCAATGGAGAACAAGCCAAAAACAAGGTGAGGCCCGGGGGACTGCCTCTGGGACTCCGAAGCATGGGAGGGCAGCTCTGCAGGACAGAGACAGCAGCAGGCCAACTTGGGAGCAGATTCTCAGCTCCACACCATGGAGTGAGACCACAGGCTCTCACTGGGGCCCAGGTGCCCAATCTCATGCCTGCAGCCCCACCTCCATTTCCCCTCTGCTGCTTCTATGGCCTTACTGGCTTCTAAGCCCTTACAAAGTGAAACCCCAGATCCCTGGGGACTTACCTTAACTCTGGATAGACATTTTCAAGGTACCATTTGAAAGGCTTGCAGCTGAGTTTCTTCCTAAGCTCCAATCTGCTCTGAATACTGGAGAAGAGGGAAATAAGATTCCTTTATAAATTTTAAGAATAGATGGGCTTTCTACATCAAACTTGAAAATCTGCTGAGGAGAACAGGGTTGGGGCAGGTGGTGTGGTGTGGACTGCCCATGCTCCTGTGCCCACAACCCCTTCCCGCCTTGGCACCTGGGTAGCTGAATTCAACGCTGGGGGCAGCCCCTTACCTCCCACCCCCACACCCCAAGAATCCCCAGTAATTGTGAGAAGGCAGAACTGCCACTTACTTTCCATAAGGAACGTTTCTAGCAGAAGGCACTGCTGCATAATAGAAATTTTTGTATTCATCCATCCAGACCTCTGCTGCCCGGCGGGTGTTTCTAGAAAGAAAATAAATCTTGAGGTGTGATTTCCTTTCTTTCTGTCTGCATCACTCCATTTGCACCTGTCTGCTGGCGTGTGACTGAGGCGGCTCCCTCTGGGTGTGCAGCAGCTCCAGCTGGGATCACGGCACACAGCAGAGGGTGGGCTGTCCCCACCAGCACCTCGAGCTGGACCTGTGGGGAGCCAGCCTCAGCGGGTGCTTACTGAACCATTGGAATGGCTTTCTTGTCACACAGATGGTCAAAGGGCAAAAGGCAAAGTGGAAATTACAGCACGAGCCAATATTTTAAAGGAGGGACTGGGGTCTATATCTTAAAGAAGGACAAAAGAAAGTTACTCTTTAAAAACTCTCACATTACGCGTCCACAGAGGGCCGGGGCCACAGAGCACAGCAAGGAGATTCCAGGCCCCACGGCCTTCTCCGTCACGGCTACGACACTATCAGACAGCTCTGCATTAAAGTTCAGACTACATAAGATAAGAGTTCCTGGGAAAATCACTTTCTTTTCTGCGGGGCTAAGCTGAAAGACTGCCATGTTTGCACTAGCTTTTTTTTTTTTTGATGGAGTCTCGCTCTGCTGCCAAGCTGGAGTGCAGTGGCGAGATCTCGGCTCACTGAAACCTCCGCCTCCCGGGTTCAAGCGATTCTCCTGCCTGAGCTTCCTGAGCAGCTGGGACTATAGGCATGTACCACCACACCCAGCTAAAATTTTTGTGTAATTTTAGTAGAGACGGTTTCACCACATTAGCCAGGATGGTCTCGATCTCTTGACCTTGTGATCCACTCGCCTCAGCTTCCCAAAGTGCTGGGATTACAGGCGTGAGCCACCGCGCCCAGCCGGCTTTTCTAGAAGGAAAGAAAACCATGTACTTAAATCTCATAGAGAGAACCATGATTTGCCATAAATAAAGCCCCTGGGACAAGCTACTCTTGAATGTCTGACATGCATTAAAAGCTATCATCTGCATAGGTATCAGCAGTGTATTCTGCCAAGAATTATCTTAAAGCATCCATGAAGTAGCAAGCACACAGCTAACCTCTTTGCTCCCATATTCTGGTCTCGGCTATAAGGTGGACTCCCACTTCAGGCTATAGCTAGCCCTCCTTAAGAACCCCATAGGAAGGCACTGTGTTCTTCCAAAATAAATACAGTAAGGAGGTAATGCTCGCCTTTTAAAATAATTCCTTAAAATGGCGAAACTTTCAACTGATCTGAGATACCATTATTAAAATAATTTCTGTATGGGGCCTATATCTTTCATATAAGGTGATATATATACTTTTTCATTTTAGTAAGTAGAATATGGACTATTATCCATAATGCCATTCAACACAGATAAGAACATATGAATGCACCTATTCTCTGACCCAGCAGCTCTACTTCTAGAAATTTATCTCAAGGCAGCAATCAATTAGGAATGAAATATACATGTGAAAATATGCTCACTTCTGCTTTGTTTATAATAGCAAAAAAAAAAAAAAAAAAGAGAAACTTTATGACTAAATATGAGGAAGGAATCAAATGAAATATTCTGTGACCACTAAAAACATGAGTGTGCATCTTACATGTTGACAGAAATGATGTCCTGGACTTGTGGGAAAATAAAATAGTTTGCAGAATTGCATATAGTGGATATGTGTGTAGAGGCAGAAGGAGAGCCAGTGAGCAAACAAGAGAGAGAGACAGAAATAGATACTGACAGACGAATTCATCAAATTATGAGAGTGTTATGGCACAACTGGTTTGGTGATGAGACTGATGAATTTTTACTTTCTCTCTATTAAAAAATATACAGATACAACAATGAGTACTTAAAGTGCTGGGGGATACTGGATCATACATATCATTTCTCAGAAGAGCCACTAAACATTGTTAGTGGGGTTTTGCTAAGTGACCTATGCCTTAACCTATGCCTAGTCAGTTTTTAACCAGTTATTAACTTAAATACTTGTAACATCTGGCACCTGGATTTCCCCAACAGGGACATGAAAGGATTTGATTCCAGAATGTCCTAGGTTCCTTTCAGCCTTAATGATTTAAAGGTTTTATCAACTCCAGTCATACTGTTTTCAAATCACTCAAGTTTTTAAGTGACTAAATCACTTAAAAATTCCTAAACGCAAAGCAACTCTTTTCTGTCTTTGTAATAGAAAAGGATAACTAGGCAGCCCCAAGGAATGATCTCCATGTGCTACTCAGTGCTAGCTCCTTTTATTCATTTATTTATTGGTTCACTCAGGTATTTATTTGGTATCTACACCAAACAGTCTCAGTGCTGCAGATACAGTGGCACCGAGGGAGACTCACTTTTGTCCAGGCCCTCCTTGTTTTTGCAGGTATTTGCAAGTATTTAGGTAGTATTAAATAAGTATTAAATAAATATTAAATGTCATCTATTACAAGTTGGGCATCCCTAATCCAAAATGTCCTAACATCCAAAACTTTTTGAGCACCAACATGAGATAGTGACGAAACTGCCTTTGCAAAAAATTTAACAATGACAAAATTGACAGTTTAAGGCATCTGACCTGACTGACTCCATCTAACTTCTAACGTCTAAACTGCCCTTGTTCACTCCTGGGCATAGGCAGAACTAACTTTGGGAGAAACTTAGTTTATAGTTTAACTTTAAAACAAAGATGGTAACAGCCCTTTCCCCAAACAAACCCTCTTTTTGTCTGGGTACCAGACTGCCTTTGTTGGACTAACAAATCAGCCACAGATTTGCAACTTCCCCAATTACTCCTGCAGATAACATCACCATTGCAGAACGTAAGATTGGCCTTTTGTAATGTCTTTTCAGGCTTCTGCACTTCTGATGACTCCATCCAGATCTCCAGCTTGTCCTGTGGACCCATCCATGCAGAAGCAGACTCGGCAGGCACAAGGACCATTTTCCACACCCCTATGATTGCACCTCATCCAATCAGCAGCACCCACTCCCTAGTCCCCAGCTCCCTCCAGATTATCCTTGAAAAACCCTAGCCTCTGAATTTTGGGGGAGATTGACTTAAGTAATAAAATTCCAGTCTCCCACTTAGCCAGCTCTGTGTGAACTAAACTCTTTCTCTATTGCAATTCCCATCTTGGTAAGTCAGCTCCATCTGGGCAGCGGGCAAGGTGAATCCAGTGGGCGGTCACAGTGACGCCTTTGCTTTCTGATGGTTTAATGTACACAAACTTTGTTTCATGCAGAAAATTATGAAAAGTATTGTATTAAATTAACTTCAGGCTATGTGTATAAGGTCTATATAAAACAAACAAATTTTGTACTTTGACTTAGGTCCCAGCCCCAAGATATCTCATTAGGTAGTACATATAAATATTCCATATCCTGAAAAAGTCAAAAATCCAAAATATTTCTTGTCTCAAGCATTTTGGATAAAAGATATTCAACCTGTATAGGAGATTAAGAGAAACTGCAGCTGGAAAGAGACCTCAGAAATACAGTGATATAATTCCACTTCTTTATCTTTCAGATGAGTCAACTGAGGTAAAGAGCAACCTGGCTGAAGGTCAACAGCAGGGCTTTTTAATCAGATCCATGCTGCCCCAAAATAATGAAACCCTGGATCAGCTTCTTTTCCAAATCTTGAGAATACAGGCTCCTGGGCTGTGAAATACAATTTGAAAATGTTTCTCTTCTAACAAAGAGTGCAATGTCTTGAGTACTTTAACATACTGTTTTCTGAAATCTCACTGTTTGCTGGTAGGTATCAATGGCTTTGGTGTGGGGCGTCTGATATGTCTATATAAAGAATCTCATGCTGCCCCAGGAAAAAGCACATATATCCATATTTTTGTTTGATTTTGTAAAGCTTATTGTACAAGATCACATTTTTGTTTTAATAAAGAACAAAAATGAAGTTTCAACATTTGTGAAGAAACATAGTTTTTGAGAGAAGATAATTTGGTCAGAAGCATTACTTGTTATTTTGCCTTCTATTAAAGTTTTCTCAGAAATCAGATTCCCTATGTGAAAAATCTGACTTCTGTATAATAGGTGTATTGTATAATCTGTACTTTTAAGAAGTTTAAAAATGGCCAGGCACGGTGGCTCACGTCTATAATCCCAGCACTTTGGGAGGCTGAGGCGGGTGGATCACTTGAGGTCAGGAGTTCAAGACCAGTTTGGCCAACATGGAGAAATGTACTACTAAAAATACAAAATCAGCTGGGTGTGGTGGCGCATGCCTGTAATCCCTGCTACTCAGGAGGCTGAGGCAGGGGAGTCGCTTGAATCCGGGAGGTGGAGGTTGTGGTGAGCTGAGATCACGCCATTGCACTCCAGTGTGGGCAACGAGATCGAAACTCCGTCTCAAAAAAGAAAAAAAACCAAAAAGTTTAAAAATGGCTGGGCACGGTGGCTCACGCCTGTAATCCCAGCACTTTGGGAGGCCGAGGTGGGCAGATCACCTGAGGTCAGGAGTTTGAGACCAGCCTGGCCAACATGGTGAAACCCTGTCTCTACTAAAAATACAAAAATTAGCCGGGCATGGTGGCACATGCCTGTAAGCCCAGGTACTTGGGAGGCTGAGACAGGAGAATCTCTTGAATCTGGGAAGTGGAGGTTGCAGTGAGCCGAGATCGCACCTTTGCACTCCAGCCTGGGCAACAGAGCAAGACTCTGTCTCAAGAAAAAAACTAGACAAAAGATAAGCTAGCAATCCCCACACCCACACCCACCCCAAGGCTTTCCCTATTTCTGTAGGGGCAGCACGCCAGCGCAGTTGTGTAACAAAGCTCCTGGGCATCACCCTAAATTAATTTCCCGCTCTACCTCCCTTCTCTCTGCCGCCCTATTAGCAAACAGCTGCCTGCTTCACCATGGAGCTGGATCTCACCCCATCTCCACTGCTACACACCTGCTCCAGGTACAGCCAGGTGCTGCTTAATGAGAGGGATACAACCTGAAAAATGCATCCTTAGGCGATGTTGTCGTTGTGTGAACATCATAGAGTATATTTACACAAACCTAGATGGTGTATCCTTAATATACACCTAGGCTACATGGTACAGCCTATTGCTTCTAGGCTACAAACGTGTAGAGCACATGACTGTCCTGAACACTGGAGGAAACTGTAACACAATGGTAAGTATTTGTGTATCTAAACAAAGAAAAGGTAGAGTAAACACACGGTATTATAATCTTATGGGACTACTGTCACCGACCGAAACGCTGTTACAGGTGCATGACTGTATCACATCTCTGGCCTGGGCTACTGCAACAGTGCTCACAGGACCCTTGCTTCTGGCTCCAAGAGTGGAGGGGGCACTCGTACCATTGTTTCACCATAGGGTCACCACCTGGCCACCCTCTGCCCAGCAACCATACGGACCTTTCCAAAGCATAAAACAGACATCAGGCACTGCTGAAAAGCCCCAGTGTTTTCCTTCAGAATCAAATAACATCCAACGTTTCCCATGACCTGCAAAGGTGCATGGCCCGGGCCTGTCTAGCTCTTCTGCCCCTGTGCACTGTCCCCTTACTCTCTAGGTTCCAGCTACCCTTGGCTTCCATTTGGCTGATATGCCAAACGCACCTCAGCAGCCTGGATCTGCTCCTCCTGCAGGTAGTCTGATTCCTCGGGGTCCCAGAGGGACCTCCTCCCACCTTTCAAGTCTGAACTCACATAACACCTCCTCAAAGGTTCTCTTGACCATGAAAACCTCTCCTACTGCTTGTCCTAATCATGCCCGACCACATGACTGCATCTTACCTTCTTCACAGCATTGATTACTATTTGAAAATACCTTATTTAGCTGTGTGTTTTGCTGTCTACACTCAAGAGAAGGCAATCTCCCTGAGATCTGGCTTGTACGCTGTTCTATCTTTAGCATGTAAGAGAATTCCCTAGAAGGACACTTGGCTTGATAGAACGGCTATTTGCTATTTTACTTTCGGAAAGCCCTTCCGTTGGCATCTTCATGTTTACTAAAATATATCTACTCTCCATCAAGAATCGTGACTCTGTGTCACGATGTCTTGTGGTATACACAATTAGTACAGCTTGACTTTAATATTTGCTATGGTTTGAATGTTTGTTCCCTCCAAAACTCATGTTAAACTTTAATTGCCATTATAACAGTATTAAGAGGTGAGGCTTTTTTTTTTTTTTTTGAGACAGAGTCTCGCTCTGTTGCCCAGGTTGGAGTGCAGAGGCACGATCTTGGCCCACTGCAAACTCCACCTCCCGAGTTCAAGCGATTTTCCTGCCTCAGCCTCCCGAGTAGCTGGGATTATAGGCGCCTGCCACTATGCCCGGTTAATTTTTGTATTTTTAGTAGAGATGCGGTTTCCATGTTGGCCAGGCTGGTCTCAAACTCCTGATCTGCCCAAACTCAGGTGATCTGCCCATCTCGGCCTCCCGCAACGCTGGGATTACAGACATGAGCCACCATGCCCAGCCGAGGTGAGGCCTTTAAGAGGTGACCTTTAAGAAGTGACTATGCCATGAGGGCTCCACTCTCATGGGGGGGATTGATGCTATTATAAAAGGGAGAATTTGGCCCCCTCTTGCTCTTTCCTGCCCTCTCTTTGCCCTCCCACCATGTGATGACACATCAAGAAGACCCTCGCCAGACACCAGCACCTTGATCTTGGACTTCTCAGCCTCCAGAACTATGAGTAGATAAATTTCTGTTCATTTTAAATTACCCAGTCTGTGGTATTTGGTTAGAGACGCATAAAATGGACTAAGACAATGTTGCTTTTAATTGCACCTTGAATGGTTATAAAATGAACTTTCTTCTTTAAAAAATTTTCCCATAACATTTTGGGGGGTGGTGTACAGTTCTAAGAGCCTTCACACTCATGAAGATTTGTCCAACTACCACCACAACCAGGAGACAGAACAGCTCCGTCCCTCCTCCAAACATCCCTGGTGCTGCCCCTCTGCAGTCACACTCCCCGCTTTCCTGCCATCACAGCTCCTGGCCACCACTGGTCTGGCCCCATCCCTAAAGCTGTGTTTTTATGAGGCTGTGACATGAGTGGAATCATGTATGTAACTGCTTCTCTCACTCAGCATCATGCCCTGGAAAGGCGCCCAGGTTGTATCCTGCATCCGTGGAATGCGCCTTTCAATTGCTAAGTGGTATTCCATTGTATAAATGCACCACACCCACTGAAGGACATCTGTCCTCAAACAGCCCAAGGTCAGGTCCTGCTTTCAGGGTAGTCATCAATGTTTTGGACCCCGCTCAGCCTTTCACTACTTACCGGGCAAAGACAGTGCCACTGCCACCCGGGAACGTGTAGGGGTGCTGCTTCCGGAACACGTGTCCCACACGGCTGCACGGGATGATCTCCAGGCTGCCACCACACTGCCACACGCGGAACGAGATCTCTGAGACGATGAACAAGACACAGGTGACTGACAGAGCCTGGGACGCACCTCTGCAACAGCAGACACACCAAGCAGGTACAGAGGCCCCCTGACCATCCCATCATGGGGCTCCCATGCCCTCTGCTGCTGAAGGAGATCTGATAAGGACCTTCCTCCTTCCAGAACCTGATGCAGAACTCTCTAAAGGAGAGACATTTGACACACTTGGATCTCTGGACCACAATACAATCAAGAAAAAATGTTCACGGGGAAATATTTTTCAGATGTGGAGTAGACACCTTGAGACAAGAATGCTTCTTGGTCTACTGTAAATATAAAGGCCTCTTGGCATAAGATCATGTATACCCCAGTATCATCGTAACTACTGAGTGACAAAACACTTGTGCTGAATTCTTCACTAGCTGGCTCACGATCATTTGCACTTGCTTCGTATCAACACCGTGGGAAAAGGCAACACTGAAGGTATATAAATATGTACAATTAAGCTTTATTGTTACATATTCTAGACAACCATATATGCCATCTTTCTCTAAAACTTATTTTTAACAGACTGAACCCCAGGATGCATCTTGGCTTTTCTCATCCAGGGAAAAATAATCCCTTCCCTCAAATGGAAAAGTTTATTAAATACAAGTCCCTGTGTATTAGCAGGCTCAAGTCTCCAGGCAGAGTTTGGACTTACGGACTATGGACTTAGGGACTGCCTTATGGACTATGGTAGTGACCAAGGACAGTCAAGTAACTGATTGATATCTGCACGCTGCTCACAGGCTTGGACCAGTCAGTAACCAGCTGGCCCAGGTAGGAATGCTCCCTGGGGAAGGCTGCTGTTGACTTGCTTCAACACAGAACTGACCGGCAGGAGGAATGAGATGTGTAGGTCTAGGCACTACCCACACCTACTTAAACACACAGACTGCCCTGAGCATTGGAACTCAGTCGAAGCTTAGACTGACTGGTGTGCCTTTTGTGACACACAGGTACCTTCCAACCAGGTACCTGCCCTTATCACCACTGACTAGGTGAGTGACTGGAGTCTGAGTCAGGGGTCCGACTGAATGCAAGAAACAGATTCAACAAAAAAACTAAGAATTTTCTGAAAGGCAAAAAACAGTTTTTCTTTACCAGGTTTGTATAATACAAAAGGGAATTTTCCTCTGTATTATCTAAGATCCCTAAGAACATGTTAGGGAGGCAGGACAAAAATCAACAGTTACTGTGAATGACAGGACTTCATTTTTTTTTTCTGGCTGGATAGTATTCCCAGGAAATTAAGTGAAGTAAGAACAGAAAGTTGAATACCATGTTTTCACCCATACATGGAAGCTAAAAAACACTGATCTCATAGAAGTAAAAAGTATAACGGAGGATAGTAAAGGCTGGGAAGGAAGGAGTAGGGATTTTTTCAAGGATACAAAATTATAGCTAGAGAAGAGGGATCTTGCTTGTGTTCTACAGCCCGGTAGGGTGACTCTAGGGACCCATAATATATACAGAGTTTCAAATAACCAGGAGGAGGATACTGAATGTTCCCAACACAAAAACATGCTACATGTTTGAGATGATGGATATGCTAATTTCCTTGATCTGATCACCATACATTATATGTATTAAAAACATCACTATGTATCCCATGAATATGCACAATTATTATCTGTCAATTAACAAATTAAAAGAAGTAAAAATATACACATATAGTATCTACAGAGTGTGCAGTCACTGTCACCAATGCAGATTGATCAGAAATAGGGTGGGTCCATCACAGACCATACAGTGAGTTGATGGCAAATCCTGCAGGCAGTCAACCTAGTTATGGCAACAGGTGCCCAGAATGCCAGGCACATGGCAGGAAATACAACACAGGGGTCAGAACACCATGAGTTTCTACTTGGGTCCAGCAAACTAATGCCTCACTCACTAGGAATGGGTGATCCATGCAGCTGTTACGGGGCTTTAATAAGCAACTCTCTTGTACTAATAGAAAATGTATGGTTACAATCACATAAGCATAAGCAGTGAAAGTTTCCGACTTTACTTTTTACAGTTCCCAACACAACCTAAGAAGTTGTCGGCTGGGCGCAGTGGCTCATGCCTGTAATCCCAACACTTTGGGAGGCCGAGGCAGGCGGATCACCTGAGGTTGGGAGTTTGAGACCAGCCTGACCAACATGGAGAAACCCTGTCTCTACTAAAAATACAAAAAATTAGCCGGGCACGGTGGCACATGCCTGTAATCCCAGTTACTTGGGAGGCTGAGGCAGGAGAATCACTTGAACCCGGGAGGCGAACGTTGCGGTGAGCCAAGAATGTGCCACTGGACTCCAGCCTGGTGACAGAGCGAGACTCCATCTCAAAAAAAAAAAAAAAAAAAAAAGAAGTTGTCTCTATTTCAGAAAATAAAATTTAAATATCCATTTGCCTCACCACAAGATTTAGAATTAGGGGCTAGGAAATCCCCTTGGCTTCTCTATGGGGAATCTGTTAAGCCAACAAGGGATCCTTCCAGGGCTTTTGTGGGAGATTTTCAAGGCTAAGTATAACTACAGTATCTTCAGCGTTGATTTCATTTGAACCCTATAACTTTGAGGATAATTACTCAGTAAAACTCAATGGCTTTTTAATTAGGCAGTTAGTGTTTACATCTTGGTTCTGAGACCCTGGGCAAGGTGTCATGACCTCTGCAGACCACACTCCGTTAAGAAAGCACAAACAGATGATTCCCTGGAAGTACTTAGCATCATCCTTGCATGACAGGGATGTAGAGAAACACAGATGATGCCCCCAAGGAGCCTTACCCCCATTGTTAGAGTTAAGGGTTAGGTTCTTGGTCCTCCATTTTAATTGCTTAAATGACATAAGGACTTACATGATTAGGAAAATGGGAAGCTCTGGTCATTCCAGCGGGGCACACGTTGAGGAGGTGGTTTTGGATCTTACTCGGGCCTCTCTGCACCATACACCTCTCCCAATGCACACCCACAGAGGCCCCTCAGGTTGGCAATGGCTAGTAGTGTGCACGGCCCCCAGAAGCAGAAGCTAGAGCAGTGCTAAGGAGAAAGGCTCACGGCATGGCCTTCTCACGTGAAGCTCTTGAGCCCTCCAAACCTCACTGGGAGTCCAAGTCCTTGGCATAACCCAGGAGAGCCCCTCACGGAGGGACAGATGCCCCAGCCTTCCTGGGCAGAGATGTGCTCCTGCTTGCAGGGTTCATCTTCACCCCAACCTGAACCGCTCAGACCCTAGAACCTTCTAGCACAGCTACATAATAAATACAAACACCAAACCACAATAAAGCAGCTCCTTACAACAAATCTACCCCCCAGTCTCTGGGTGAATGCCTCCTTAGATATGTAAATCAACACTCTTCCTACACGATGACACAAAATGCTGGCTGATGTCTCATTTCAGCTAATAGTATGCAAACTTCTGAAAACCACACTGTTTTTGAGAAATGGCCACCTACACGATACGCTGCCCTACTGGGCGACCCTGGCCTGCTGGATTTCCACTAAACCATTAGGGGATACCCATGGAACAGGGTGACAGAACTCTCTTTAGAGGGTTAACAATTCTGAAGCCTTTTGTACTCAAGTGACTTCAATCCAAGCTTTCCCTAGAGGTTAATGTATCATTTTTTTAAAACAACCCAAAAGGAGTTTGACTCACGGTCTCTCCACCCGTGCAGTATAGTAATCGAGCCTAAAGAAGCTTTCAACATCAAACCAAGGCAGAGAAATCCTCAAAGATGAGATGGTATCACTGACTTCAACATCATAAAACAATGGAAAAATAATAGGCTAGGCTAGTCTTTTCTTTTAAAGTAACAAAAACTTTCAAAGTCTCAAAACTATTAAAAATGAGTGGCCTCATTTTCCCCTTTCCTTCTCCCCTGTCCTCCAGGGTACACTCACCCAAGGACGAATGTAAGTTAACAACACTCAGCAGCCCAGGAGAATTCGCTCAGAATGTCAAGCATTTGAAACAAAAGGCTTTAATTGAAACAAGCAAAAAAGATCTCCCCCACTCCAAACCCTAAACAAACAAAACACATCTTTTCATCTTTTATGCAGTAAATATAAGGCTACCAATATAGACCACAATGTGCAAAATTTTGCTGTGCCTAAACCTGGGTAAAAATAATTTGCATGGGGTATTTAAAAACAAAAAAACAAACAAACAGAAAAACAAATGAGAACCATTCGCAAAGGTAGTCGAGAAGGGATTAAGTGCCAAGGCCTCCCTGCCCCATCGGATTTTCATGATTTCAATTCAATCAATCCCACCAGCCTCGCCGGGGTTCATTTTCCACTCTCCACCACTCAGCATGAATCTGAGCTCCTGGACTGTTTCCCTCTGTTTTTGCAAGCCTGCAACATTCCAAACACTTGGGTTCAGACGCCTTGAAAGAGTTTGCATTTCCCTTCAAAGACTTTATCCGTATTCTGGCATCCTCCACTCTAACCTAGGGAGGCACATTTTAATGCCCAACTCATGAGACTTTCAAGAGCAAAAGGGGTGTTACATATGTGTTTGCAAGGATCGATTAAGCCCAGTGAATGGTCACTCTGAAGCCTTTTAAATTTTTTTTCCAATTGGCACCCTGCCTTTTGCAGAGCTGAGGCACTTCTCTGTCCTGAGATTTGAGGCTTGTACATACCTAGGTTCTCTCCTCCCCACACATCCATCATCATGTCGTACTTCCCCAGTTCTTCAAAATAGAACTTATCCATCACAAACAGCCCACCAGCAATCATGGGGGTTCTAAAGAGGCAGAAAGAAGAGGGGGGAGGGAGGAGAGGGCAAAGTCAAGGTTAGATTGCCAGCACCCTTGCGCCAAGGCCAAGCCTTGATTCCCTAACAATAAGCTGATCTTCAGAACAGCCACACTGCCACTGTTTTCTGCTCAGTGCCCAGCATGCCACTCTCTCTGCTTCACCACTGCTGCCTTCAAATGCCTCCCCCACTGTCCCTGCCTGGATGTTCCCACAGTGCCAGGGGCTGGACTGAGCCTCCCCTATGTGGGAGCGACTGCTGGGGCTGGATCACTACTCACTGACATGCTGCCATAGGCAAAGAACTCGGCCTTTCTGTGTGTCAGTTTCCTTATAGGGTAGCTACGAGGATTGCAAAAAATCATGGGCATAAAGCCCTGAGCACGCTTAGGAAATGCTCCACAGCACCAGCTCTCATTATCACTATCATAGATGAGACTCCACCTCCTACAAGGGAACCCACCATGCTCCTCACTTCATCATCCCAGGAAGGGGTTGACAACAGATGTACACTGAGCTCCCTACTTTGTTCCCAGAAGCGATGCTGTGCGAATTCAGTGTAAAGTGCTGGGAAGGTCTATGGCACACTGCAGATGTTGGCTAAATGTCAGCAAATATATTTCAGCGCTAAGTACTCTGTGAATGCTATCTCACTTAACCGTGTGCCAACTTGGAAGAGGTGGCCCCCTTCTCTCCCCAGCTAGAGAAGGCATCCTGACTCTCAACCAGAAAGCCCACCGCCCGGCCTGGGAATCTTAAAAGCATGGGCTTCATGAGCATGGGCTCCTTCCTCTGCAGGAGAGCAAAGGCCTGCTGGGCAGTAGCAGCAGTAAGCCTCCTGCTGCCCACCAAGCCCCTTTTCCTGGGCCTGGGGTCAGCTCGGAGATCCTGCTCTGCTACAGAAACGCTCTACATTATCAACATACAGGAATGCACAGACCTAGCAGATAGGCCTTATAAACCTATGTGAGACTTCAACTGTGGAAAAGAAATCTCCAAGGATTTTATTCTATGACCTGGTGGAAGGTGCTCATCTTTGAGCTGAGACGAGGGGAAACCGGAGGGCAGAAGGTGAACAGCCCCCACTGGGTCTCCAGGCGGTGCGGGCCCAGCAAAGAAGCTGGAACCTGGGGTCTCATCTGGGAGGGGCACCCTGAAGGATGCTGGCACTTACTTTATAGGGGCGACTGGGTTCCCCTGCCGGGACCTTCTCTGCTCAGGCGTCATGTAATCCCACTTGAATACCAAGTTCCAATCAAAACCTGCCAGCCAGGAAAAGAAACAGGGTGTTGACAAGAGACTGGCCACTTCCTCCCGACACCCCCATTCCTCACAGCTTAAAAATATTCGATGTTTGGACAGAACTCAATGAAAACCAAAACAAAGCCAAAAAAGAAGGTGTGGAGGAGAGAGAAGGGGACTGGGGGCGTGGGTGTAGCTGAAGAGAGAGACCGGCAGTGAGGGTGAATGTTGAAATCTTCTCCCTGCCCCTCCCTAAAGAAAATGTGAGTCAGGCTTTTCTAATATTGAAATGCATAGGAAAAAATGAAATATGGGGAGAGAACTGGGGTCTGTGTGGTGATAACCAGGGCATGTCCAAGGGCTGTAAGGATGTGAGGAAAAAGAGCATCCAACATGAAAATCAAGCCGTGGTACCTCCAACACTGCCCCAGGGGAAGGCAATGCTGGGGAGGGAACGAGGCTTTGTCAGTTCCCTGGGCCAGCAAACTTCAGACTGTATTTGCAGCAAGAATGGAGTGGGAACATGCTGGGAATATGAAAACTTTAAGGGAAAATGAGCCAGCGGAAGTTGCCAAGCTGGGCAAATAAGCTTCAATTTCAGATATATTTGGCACCTGTTGCATTTCATTTTTGGAATCCACAGACCCCTGAGGATAGAAGAGCCTAGACCCTGTACCCGGACTTGGTTGTGGGCATCTGCAGGGCCTCAGGTCTCGCTCTTGCTCCCAGGGTCACACACATAGTGCCTCTTGGAGGCCAGCAGGCTCCACCTGCGGAAGCTGTCCTGGTGCATCAGGAGGCCACTTCTTGGCAAACACATGGCTCATGGTGCTGCATTTCCAATTCCAAGGGTCTGACAGCAAAACCTAATGACTCTAGGGCATGCATCTTTCAATCCTCTTAAGCTCTCTGCCATCAGGCTTTTTGTCAACAGGGCTTTTGCAATGCCTAAGTTTGGATTTGTCTGCATGCTTTGAATTCATAGTCTGTCCGCCCTGACAGCCCCAGTGACTGAAGGATGGCGGGTGAGGGTTTCTGAGTGTCCTGGGCTGGCCAAGAATTTATGGCTCTGGACAAAGAGGCCTCCCAGCTCCCTCACTGCAGGATAGAGTGGCCTCAGGCAAAGAGAGAGGGAAATGGACAGGGGCCCAGGCAGTGGGGACAGAAATGCACAGAGAGGAGACCCCTGCGGGCCCCTGAGCTGGCTCTTATCATGGTGCCTCAAAGGCCACGAAGGAAAACCAGAAAAACAATGTCCTGGCTGTTTCACTAACAGAGAAGGTTAAGGATTAGCTGACATAACCTTTCCTTTGTTTTTTTGATGTTTACTATTATCTTATTATTTATTTTATTAATTTGGTCCAAAGAGAGAGGCTATAGCAGATTAAAGATCTGTTAAGAATGGCATCCTTGATTTTTTTTCTAAAGGAATTTCATAAAATGCTCTTAGGGTGAACGTGGCCCCGTTCCTCTGACCCAGAAGACCTGCACCCCCACACGGAACACCTGGCTGTTCTTGCCCCTGCTCTGACATACGCAGCTGCTTTGGGAGAAATAGAGCCTGGTAGATCTCAGCTCTTCGAATACTTGGGGAAATACAACATTCTGAAAGCCAGGCTTTCTAGCTATCTAAGGATCCCTCCTCTTTAATGTCCCCAAACATTTTACTTCTCACCATTTGCTGGGAATCGTTCCTGAATGTTATGTTTCCCACCCTAGGTACAGTCCTCCAAGCATGCCCGCCCTCCCGCTGATGTCTAATTCCATTATGCCCTGTGTGGCCAGCACAATTATCATCCCATTTCCCAGAGGGGGAAGCTGAGAAGCAGAGGCAAAATGGCCTGCCCATGATGACGGGGCCTGCAAGAGGCAGGTGGGGCCAAAGCCCACAATGTCTAGGACCGTGGCTGAGTCTCCCTAAAAAGTCCAAGTATTCTGTTTTCTGGGGTTAAGGCTTGCTTGCACACATATGTGTGTGTGTATGAATAAGCAGGGTCTCACTCTGTCTCCCAGGGTTGATCGTGGCTCACTGCAGCCTTGACCTCCCAGGCTCAAGTGATCCTCCCACCTTAGCCCCGAGTAGCTGGCATGCCATCACACGCAGCTAATTTTTTTTTTTTTTTTTAATAGAGACAAGAGTCTTGTTATGTTGCCCAGGCTGGTCTTGAACTCCTGGGCTCAAGCAATCCTCCCACCTTAGCCTCCCCAAAGTGCTGGGATTATAAGCGTGAGCCACTGCACCTGGTCAAGGCCCTATTTTATAGTTTTACTGTCTTCTTTTTTGATGTTAGACCATCAGTTAACCCTCTGCCCAGTGTCTATCTAGAATAGTTCATCTTCACACAGATGAAAGCTCTTTGAGGTCTTTGATAATTTTTAAGAGGGTAAACAGACAAAGTGCTCTTGGGGCTCCAGGGTGGGTGCGGTGAGGACATACAGGAAACTGGTGTGGTCATTCCAACGGAAGGGGACCAGGGTGATGTAGGCACAGGTGTTGGGCTGGGAAAGAGGGGTACAAGAAACCATGATACATGCAAGGGGCTGTATCAGCAGAACAGGGTCACACGTGGGCTTGGTGAGGGCGAGGGGGTTGAGGATGACACAGGTCTCCATCTGAGCAACCAGAAAGAGACCAGGCTGTCAGAGAAATAGCCAGGGTGAGCAGAGAAGGCAAAGACAGGCTCCAGCCCCTTGAATCCCACAAAGCCTCAGCTCCGTGAAGCTTCTCACCCCAGATTCCTGCAAGGAGGGCTTCATCATCTCTGGTCATAAAGGACGCCATATCTGTTCATGGAACCACATGGCTCGCAAAAGTGACAGAAGGTCAAGGAAGAGGAGAAAGGGAAACCCAGGAAGCTCTTTAAGGGAGCAAGCCTATTTTTTTTTCTCTTTATGAAGTCCTACTCGTTAAGCACACAGGTGGTTTTTACTCAGAACACACACTACGGCGTGAACACTGTTGTCACTGTCACTCCTGACAATGAGAGGGAGTGGTGATCAGATGCTGGTGTAGACGGGACGAGCTAGGCAGGGGCACCATGACAGACACCTACCGCCCTTCAAGTCAGCAGATGCCCCCACATACTGAAAGTTGTCCATATTAATGACATCGATGATGGGTGACACAACCCGAGTCCTGTCCTAAAATACAAAGAGAGGAGTAGTTATCAAAATCCCAGCAAAACAAAAAACCTGCCCAACCACAGAAGGCATTAGTATTAGGCAGGCACAGGGCAAACCCAACTGGCCCTTACTACCTACTACCCTAGGCCCTCAAGAACCCAGCCTCCCCACCCAGACCCAGAAGGTCTTGCTCTTGGCCATCCACAGATGTGCTGTGGCCTGCTGGGAGGCAGGGAGGGAGGTCAGGAGTGGGTGCGTAGCAGGAGTCACTCTAGGAGTGGAGACACCCATGGTTATGGGACAGGTAGCCATCAGTTCACCCAGCTAAAGGCAAAAACTGTGTTGCTGTGTCCCAAGGGTCCTTTTCTGTTTGCCCAAATACCATTAGTGATTTGTGAGCTGCAGTAAACTTCAGGAATGGAGTCACTGCTAAAATGCTCATACATCAAAATTAGGAATATATTTCTATGTGGGAGTGTGTGTGTGTGAGAGAGATGTGGTAAGTATCAATATTATCACAGCAGAAGGTTAACCAAATCAACCAGAGATTTCCAGATTCTACGTTTGCCTCATCTGTAATTCTATCTTTTTTGTTTTTTTGTTTTGTTTTTTTTTTGAGACGGAGTTTCACTCTTGTTGCCCAGGCTGGAGTGCAATGGCGTGATCTTGGCTCACCACAACCGCCGCCTCGCGGGTTCAAGTGATTCTACTGCCTCAGCCTCCCAAGCAGCTGGGATTACAGATATGCACCACCACGCCCAGCTAATTTTTGTATTTTTAGTAGAGATGGGATTTCTCCATGTTGGTCAGGCTATTCTTGAACTTCTGACCTCAGGTGATCTGCCTGCCTCGGCCTCCCAAAGTGCTGGGATTACAGGCGTGAGCCACTGCGTCCAGCCCCTGTGATTCTATTAAAAAAAAAAAATCCCCCTAGATTGAGCCATGTCTTTATGCCACATTGCCATCATTCTGGTAAGAGTTTGTGAACATAAGGCCTTTTAACATCTCTAACCTCTTTAAGCTCAAATGACGGATGCTGGTGAGAGACCCTGGACTGTGCCCCATGCTGACAGTTAACCAAAGAGCAAGTGTTTTCCCTGAGCCACTTAGAGAACCCTTATTAGCCAGAAGAAAGATTTAGAAATACAACTTAGTAACAGAACCAGCAGAGCTAAGAACATACTACATCAGAGGAACAGGTGAAGGAACATGCTAATTAGGAACACGCAAACACTGCAAAGCTCTGTAACACCCAGGTGCAAATCTACAGGGAAAAGTAGGCTGTGTGGTGCATTGAGGGCAGAGAAGAACACAACTTTCCTTGCCTGGCTCAGTCTGGTTCTAGGTGTATGAGTTAAAGGATATAATCTACTTTACATTTTGTTTCATAAGGCTCAATTTAGTGAAAGTTAATAGGCTTGGCACTTTCTCTCCTTAATTTAGGAGCAGGCGTTCGAAGCAGTTCTGACAATCTGACCACTGAGCTCGGTGACCTTCGCACACCCAAACACTGCCATGGCAGTTTTGGTTTTGACTGCGCTTCCCTGAGAGACAGCCTGGCGGAGCGTAGCCAGGGAGAGCAAGAAGTTGTGGGGTTGGGGTGGGTGGGGATTCCAGGGTGGGTTCTTCTTGGATATAGCTGTATGCACATGTGTTAAGAGAGGGGCTCAGATAGGGATTTAATGAAACTGGCTTTGCAAGCCTGGCTCTGCTACCTGTATGATTTTGCGTGCATTATTAAAGTTCCCTGAACCCCAGCCTGTTTACCTGTCAAACGGAGATAACAAGTGCATTACAGGTAACATATAAAAAAGGCCTAGCCCCAACTTGATAAAGGGTAATGAATATGATCTTCATAATTCCTAGTAGCTTGTGGTTACTTAGTATTCCATGACTCACAGCCCATCAGCTATCCTTGCTATGCTTAGGCAGAACTACTTGTTCATTTTCTATTTCCTTTCATTAAGTTTGCTTTATCGCCCCCAAGGAAGTGCTTTCTTAGTAGGAAGGAAAGAAAAGTCAATAAAACAAGCAGAAGGCGAGAGAAGTGAAAAAAGGCCAAATGTAATATTAGCAATGATGTTTCTAGAAAGCAGAAGGTGCAGAAGTGGAGCCGCGGATCACCCTCTGACAACCCCACCGGTCCCTGTATGCTTCCTAGCCACAACCCTCTCCCACAGGAGCCTGGAAGCCTGCTGGGCTAACCTGCCCTACTCACTAAGAGCAGAGAGGTGGCCCCAGGGACAGCTTCCCCAGCACGCCCCGCTCTGCGAGCTGCAAGAGATGGCACTTGCTAGGTGCCGGGCAATGTTCTAAGCACTCTGCGAAGCTGTAGGCGGGGAAGGAAACTGCTCCCATGAAAAGGGCTGCCTTCAACTAATCAGGCTCTCACCAGCCTCTGCTGATCCTCGCCTCCTACCTGTCAACGGATGGTTCCTCCTACTGATGGATTCCTACAGCCAGTAAAACAGTCTTTCTACAATGCCCCAAAGGCATTTTCCTTCTATCAAGGAAAACTGCAGACGGCGAGCTCAGCCCCTACCAGCCCTGACGCCCTACTCCCTGCGTTACACCTCCCCTGGACCATGCTCCCTTCTGTCCCCTCTACCAACCACCCACGACCTGACACCCCTCCCAGCCCCCGTCATCTCACCTCCGCCACCCTTTCCAGGAGGGGCTCCAGCCAGTGCTCATTACACTCGCAGTGACTGTCCAGGAAGGTCAGGACCTTGGCTTGGGCAGCATCGGCCCCCCGAACCCGTGAGCGCATGAGGCCTGCAGAGGCGAGTTGGAAAGCACGTCAGGAGAGAGAAGCCACAGGGCCAGCACAACCCCATGCCAACCGGCGACGCCTCCCTGCCCGCAGCTCTGCAGCCTGCTTTCTGGGCACGGACATTACTGTAAACTTGCTGGATGAGATCAAAACTGCTCCATGAGACAGACTATTGTCAGAACTTTTAATTTTAATAGTTATATTGGATGACTGGGAGGACAACGTTCTTAGAACTACCGTCTTCTGAGAAAGGCCCTTTACATTACTGAAGTCTCCTTTATCAACTAACCAAAATGTGGAACTTTTATAACTACATTCCTCTGACACAGCAGCAGTTTTCTAACTAACTGGGCTAAGGAAGGTGTCACCCAGAGACTTCCAGTGCTAATGGTGTTGATTTTAGTGGTGATAATATTTGCAACAGTGTTGTGACTATCTCTGTCTTCTAAGACTTATCAGGAGCTAAATAACATAAGTTGCAAAGCCCTGCTGTCTGCCTTTTACACAAAATTAGTTATACTATTGGTCAAATTCTACAATTTATATACTTGTGATGTGTTAATAATGTGCACGTTCATTATGACACAAAATACAAATAGTGTATTTCAAAAATCAGCCGTGGGTGGTGGCCTGTGCGTGCGCCTGTGGTTCTAGCTGCTCGGGAGGCTGAGGTGGGAGGATCACTGGAGCCTGGGAAGTGAGCCATGATTGCGCCACTGCACTCCAGCCTGGGTGATAAGAGTGAGTCCCTGTCTCAAAATAAATAAAAAATAAAATAAAATAAATAATAGTATATTTATCCCTGGATGTTGTGGTCATAAATGGCTTTTGCTATATATGCTGGGCTTTCTATGTGAAGATGATGCAACTATTCATAACCGGTGAGGACAAGTCTGCTAAGTACTTTTTTCCACAGTCAAAATGGGTTTTCAGTGATTCCTATGTGGCTGTATGCTAGAACAGGGAAAAAGACTAAAGATTTTAAGTTGTGATAATTGCAAAACAACTTGTATGGGGCAAACCTTTGCTCCAGTAACAATTATAAACTCTGAGCAAAATATAAAAAGCAGCAATTTGAAAGCCAGAAGCAGACAGAAACTAGATAGGATCCAACCCCTTAAAATAAGAAAATAACACTGAGTAAGCTCCGTGTTTATACGGCGTTTTCCACGAGGATGCGCTCCAATCCACTGCAATGTAGCCTTTTTTGGCTTGAGTTGTTAGAGGATAGAGAGTTCAGAGCTTCTGGTATCTGGAAACTGAAGGAGATCCTGGAAAGGAGGTAGGACCCAAATCTGGCAATAACCTCCTGTTAAATCTTTGGCTGACTTCTGAACCACACAGGAACCAAGTCCAACATGAAAAGCAACAGTTAAGAAGGCAGAAAAAACTGAGTTTCAGCTGCTATCTACTGCAGAGAAAACAAAGTTTGGAATTTGAGTTCTGCCAAGTGTGACATGCTTGGTAAAGATCTCAGTTCTTCTACAGGAACTTCAGAAAGACCACACATAGGAATATAGACTATGTATCAAGAATAAGGGACTCATAAAAACAAACTCATGGCCGGGCGTGGTGGCTCACGCCTGTAATCCCAGCACTTTGGGAGGCTGAGGTGGGCAGATCACCTGAGGTCAGGAGTTCAAGACCAGCCTAGCTAACATGGTGAAACCCGTTTCTATTAAAAATACAAAAAATTAGCCAGGCGTGGTGGCGTGCGCCTGTAATCCCAGCTACTCGGCAGGCTGAGGTAGGAGAATTGCTTGAACCCAGGAGGCAGAGGTTGCAGTGGGCTGAGATCACACCACTGCACTCCAGCCTGAGCAACAAGAGAGAAACGCTGTCACAAACAAACAAACAAACAAACGAAAAAAAAAAACCATACTCATCCTAGCAAAGTACAAAAAGAGCCTACAGAAGTTCAGCATCATCATCTGGTAATTTAACTGCCCAATATAACAAAGATGAATACTCTTTAGAGAAAGATAACATAATCCAGTGTTTCTACAACATATCATCCACAATGTCAATTATAAAATAAAAAACCACTACACATGAGAAGAAACAGGAAAATGGAGACCACATCAAAGAGAAAAAAAGTCATCAGAAGTTCACCCTGAGATGACCCAGAGGTTGGAATTAGCAGGGGAGGATTTAAAAGCAGCTATTATAAATATGTTTAATAACTCAAAGGCAACAATTTTAATGAGTGAATGGGTGGGGAATCTGAGCAGAGAAATAAAAACTATAAAAAAGAATCAAATGGGTATTCCAGAACTTAAAAATGAAATTATCTGAAATGAAAAATCCACTGACTGGTCTTAGTAGCAAAATGGAGATGGCAGAATGACTAGTGAACTTGAAGATGGAACAACAGAAATAGATCCATCTGGTGGACAGAGAAAAAATTAAGGGGGAAAAGTCTAGTCATCTATAGGACAATAACAAGTGGTATAACATATGTGCAACTGAAGTTCAAGAATGAGTCAGAAAAAAATACATGAAGAAATAAAAGGCCAGTCATTTCCCAAACTTGGTGGAAAACATCATCTTACATATTCAATTTACATCAGCAAACTTGAAGCAGGATAAATATAAAGAAAACTAAATCTAGGCACATCATAATCAAATTGTTAAAAAAAAAAAACAGATATAGAGACAAAAAGCAGCCAGAGGAAATGACCCATAACATACAAAGGAACAACAGTATGAATTTTCTGAGACAGAGTCTCACCCTGTCACTCAAGCTGGAGTGCAGTGGCACAATATTGGCTCACTGCAACCTCCGCCTCCCATGTTCAAGCGAGTCTTCTGCCTCAGTCTCCCGAGTAGCTGGGACTACAGGCGCATGCCACCATGCCCGGCTAATTTTCGTATTTTTAGTAAAGACGGGGTTTCACCATGTTGGCCAGGCTGGTCTCAAACTCCTGACCTCGTGATCCGCCCACCTCGGCCTCCCAAAGTGCTGGGATTACAGGCGTGAGCCACTGTGCCCTGCCTGGAGTGAAACCTTTAAAGTGCTGAAAGAAAAATTAATTGTCAACTCAGATTCCACTGAAAGAAAATAGCCTCCAATAACAAAGGAGAAAAAAATTCTTCAGATAAAACCTGAGATTGTGCTGCCTATGAGAAAAAATTCTAAAGAAAATTATTCGGGCTAAATAAAAACTCCAATCTATGGAAAGAAACAAAGATACTACAAATGGAAAATATGAGGATAAGCTTAACATATCCACATATTCTTCTCTTTATTTAATAGATACTGACTATTTGAAGTAAAAATGTAACAGTGTATTGTGGGGTTTAAGATGTATGTAGAAGAAAAGCATGATAACGATAGTACATAGGAAGGGAAATGGAAATGCAATTTAACTATTGTAAAATTCTTAAATTTAAAGTGGTATGATGTTGACTCTTAAGCAGACTGTTGTAAGTTAGAGCTGTATGTTGTAATTCTCAGGGCAACTGTGCATACATGAAAAGTATTGCTGAAAAGCTACAAGAATAATTCAAATGGAATACTAAAAAAATCACTGAATCCAAAAGAAGGCAAGAAAGCAGGAACACAGTTACAAAAAGCAAAATGCACATGGTACAAATAGAGAAGAAACAGCCGAAGAGCAGACCCAAACCTAGTCACACCAATGATTACGCCACATGTAAATGAACTACCCTCAATCTGGGTGGGCACAATCTAATCAGCTGCCAGCACGGCCAGAATAAAAGCAGACAGAAGGATGTAGAGAGACTGGACTGGCTTGGTCTCCCCCGGCCTACATCTTTCTTCCACGCTGGATGCTTCCTGCCCTTGAACATTGGACTCCAAGTTCTTCAGCTTTGGGACTATTGGACATTCAACCACTGACTGAAGGCTGAACTGTCAGCTTCCCCACTTTTGAGGTTTTGGGACTTGGACTGGCTTCCCTGCTCCTCGGCTGCAGATGGCCTATTGTGGGGCTTCACCTTGTGATTGTGTGAGTCAATATTCCTTAATAAACTCCTGTTTATATATACATCTATCCTATTAGTTCTGTCCTTTTGGAGAATCCTAATACAAAAGCCAAATATTGGTTCTTTTAAAAAATGAACAGCGTCGATGAACAGCAGACAGATAAAGAAAATAAGAAGATATAAATTACCAAAATCAATAAAATAGTAATACTAATCCGACAAACAGTAAAAAAAGAGACAATATCATAAGCAACTTTGAGCCAATAAATATAAAAACGTTGATAAAATACAAAATTTCTTGAAACAGACACAAAAAGAAACAGCAGATCTGAATACGCCTATATCCATTAAAGAGATTGAATTAGTTATCAAAAATCTTTCCATAAAGAAAATTCTTGGTCCAGACTGGCTAATTCTATTAAACATTTAAAAAAGAAATAATTAAAATATTATACAAACTCTTTTAGAAAATAAAATAGAAGGGCACACTTTCCATCTTGTTTTATAAGGCTAGTAAACCATAATGCCAAAACTGGAAAAATACATTTTAAGAAAATTACAGACCAATGTTTCCCATGAACACAGGTATAAAAATCCTTAACAAAAATATATTAAAAGGATACTGTATCATGACCAACTGGGGCTTATGCTAGGAATGCAAAGCTGGTTTAACATCTGAAAATCAACCAATGTATTTCACCATATTAACAGATTAAAAAAAGAAATACCACTTGACTATCTCCACAAATGCAGAGAAAAAGATTTATCTCATTATTAACATGGTTTTGGTCCTACTATTGTCATTAAATAGCTGTAAGGGCCTTGAGAAAGCCACCTAGCCTCTTTAGATTTAGTATTTCCATCTGTAAAATGAAAGTACTAGGCTCTCAACTTCCACTGTACATCGGCATCATTTTAGCAGCTTTTAAAAATGCAGCTGCCCACACCCCACCCAGAGAAATCCAGAAATTTCTATTTAATTGTGAATGAGGGCAAGACATGGTCCTAAATTCCCTAGGTGCTTCTAATAAATTGCTAGGTTAAGAATCAATGCACAATAAAATCCACAGAAGAATGATCCTAAGACTGCTTTCACTACCATAATATTTTAGGCAATTAATTTACTTTGTCATCTAGTAGCATCACTACAAGCACTTTGTGTGTATGCTTACATAGATGGGATCTTATACACACACATGGGTACATATATACATGAGTGTGTGTGCAAGTGTGCACATATTTTCTCATTCAATTGTTACAGACTTCAGCTGTTCCATATAGGCTTTCCATAATCTGGCTTCTCCCAACCCACCCTTCTCATGCCTTCCCCGAAACAACGTATCAGCACGGGTTCAACCGAAATGAACATTCTAGCGGAAAGTTAATACTGAGAAGCATTGTTCTGATTTCTAAGCAGTTTAAAGACAAAGACACTGTTAGATAAGGCTCATAAGTGATTTACAGTGCCAACACTATCTCTCTTTCCTCCTTCCCCACTTCTCTTTTTTTTTTTTTTTAAAGCCTGTGCCAGGTGATGGGGTAGGATGGCAGATACTTTGGGTTTAAATTCATAAAGTTATTTTGAAGGTGTTTAGGGGGCAGCAAATTGCCCCCTTTTTGGTTTATTCCAGGCTTGGTGGACTGATGTGAGTCTGGCAAACAGCTTGTTTAGAAGGCAAGGCTTATCCCACTGTTTATGTATCTTGAATGTCTAGGTTGATGACCCTAGTTGGTTAAAATATGATGCTGTTCTAACAGGCTCAATCACTGTGTTGGCCAATAAGATTCCTGGTAAGAAAAACTTCACTCCTTGACTCCAGCTGGAGTGCATATGTAATGAGAAGAAAGAGTTTTACACTGATGAAGGAATACAATCACCACCCCTGGATCAACAGTCAGACTTAAATAGCAAATGTGGCATGGGTTCCAAAGCTCTGTGATTTTCCTATACTGAAAGATTTCTCCCAACCATGGAGGAGCCTAACAATTCAGTCTTCAGGGTCTCTAACAGCACTGACACACTGGATGTTAATTACATTGTGATTGGAGCTTCCTTCCCAGACACTCCAGTGTACTACTTTCCTCCTTTACAGCCTCTCTTCTAACTGCCAATAAAAGAGTCCTCATGAGCTCAGCTCCAGCACAGATAAGACTGACAGAAGGTTCCGAGGTTGGCATTTGCAAAATCGCATGAGCATATAATTGCAGTACTGTCTCCCCATTTTGGATGGTTCACCTTCAGCAGGCTGTCAAACTTGAATCCCGGTTATTTTATCAGATGCCTGGAGCATGGAGTCATTCAACTTCTTATTGCTAAATCTTTGTTTTTCTTCTAAACTTTTGTATTCAAGGGACTGATAAGACTTCCTAGGTTGTGAAAGAAAGAAGCCAATTTTCTAAATACATAAATGAAAATGTAATTTGATCCTGCTCTAATATACTAATAATTTCAATTAGTCAAGCTTTTAATGTCTTTCCTGTGTTTGCTGGGAGAAGTCTCCCAAGCGGCTCTGGTAGAGGGAGACAGAAAAAAGCTAGACAATTAATTGCTCTTTGAGCTAAAGCACTTCTTTATGTTATTACAGGAAAAGTCAGAATTCAACTGTCTTGGCGCTGAATTAAGAAGAATCTTACCTTCTCGTCGATCATTTCTAAGAACTCGCACTTTCTCAATTTTCCCCAAGAGAGCCCCGTCCTCAGCTAGGAAAAGAAAAGAAGCAGAGCATTTTGAACCTGGAGTTCATAAAGGGCTTTGCATTCAACCATAGTATTCTCAATCATCTAAGGGCCGATTATCTCCTTGGGGCATCACAGAGGCACCTCTTCTTTCTGTGGATCTGATTTCTGGCTTGTTCACGCCTCATTAGCACCCCCACTACAGGAAGACTGGTGCCCAGAGAAGAGCCAGACACAGGGATAAAATCAGTGTCAGTACTCACGATCATTGCTGTAGTCATCCACCAAGATGATTTCTTTTATGAGATGGGGCGGGCTTTTCTTAAGCACGCTAAGAAAAGACAAGAAGATAAAGTTTATAGGTCTTTTAGGGGTATAAACTTTTAGCCTGGGGTAGAAAATTCTCATATGTTGGTCCTAACCCTTGGTTGGAGGAGCTACACACTGCACCCTGTGCTGAGCAGTCAGGAGACCCTGTCTGCAGCCCCCACTGACAGCCCTGGTCTGACTGTGCCTGGGACACAGCTAATGTCTTAACACCCCTGACAGGTAATGCATCTCCTGGCCTCACCTGACCACGGTCCTGAGTAGGGCCGACCTGGCTTCATTGTGAAACGTGATCACCACGCTGGTGGCCGGCAGATCCACCCGCCACTGCTTCCGCTGACACCTGCAGGAAGAGAAAGATGGTCCTCTGAACAATGACCCCCAGAGCAGCCACAGCTTGTTTAGCCCTTCAGAGAACAGGCAGACTGACCAACTGGGATGGACATGCTATGATTAACTTGTTATCTGCAGAAGTTCCTGGCCTGTTCTGAGATGAACTGCCAACGGGACATAAGGAAACAGAAAAACACAACCGGAGTTACGTTCTGAGAGATGAACGATTTCGGCAAAAAGTAACATATTGAGAACATCTTTCTAACACGTTAAAAAAAAGTGTTTTAAAACAGTGAAATCCCATTTCTACTCTCAAGCAGATACACCTCTAGAGATGCGCTTTTCACAATTTGCAGTCGTAATTTCCGAAGGGCAGAACCAACTGTGCGCCACTGCTCTTTTCTTGTTTTCTACATTGCCTACAACAAGCATGTGGTACTCCGGTGATATTTGGAACTTGGTTCTCACCACGAACAGCAGACCCACTGGAGGTTTTCCCTTCCTGGGACAGCAGGGATGCATGTCCCTTGCCCTGGAAGGCCATCCCCAAATACCCCAAAGGGCAGTGGTGAGATGAAGATGGGGAGATGGAGTGAGGGTACAGTCAATGGGACCCTGAGCCTGCCTGAGCTCTCCTCTTCCAGCAGTAGGGAAGAACCCTGGGATCACCTCTGCACAGAAGCTGATTCAGAGGCCAGACCTACAAAGCAGGTGCAGATTTCAACATGGCACCTCTCAAATTTGGGCTCTACAGACAGACACAAGACTAGAAGAACAGTAAGTAGCTTTTTTTTTTTTTTTTTTTTTTTTGAGACAGGGTCCAACTCTGTCACCCATCCTAGAGTGCAGTGGCATGTTCATAGCTCCCTGCAGCCTTGAACTCCTGGGCTCAAGTGATGCTCCTACCTCAGCCTCCCAAGTAGCTGGGATTACAGGTGTGCCACCACATCCAGCTATTTTTTTTTATTTTTTGTAGAGATGGGGGTCTCACTCTGTTGCTCAGGCTGGTCTCGAAATCCTGGCTTCAAGCAATCCTCCCACCTCAGCTTTCTGAAGTGCTAGGATTACCGGCATGAGCCACTGTGCTCAGTCAGAATAGCTGTTTTAAAAAATAGCTGATAGCTATAGGTGGAAGATGCTAAAGTATCATATACTAGAAATAAGCAGTAAAGGTTTACCGGGCTCAGCAGAACCCATCAGGAGGAACCCTTCAAAGCAGGGTCTACAGACCTAAGAGCATCCTAGTACAGAGCAATGTTCCCAGAGAATCCTGAGAGAACAACACACCTGGGCAGGACTGACAGCCCACGAGGACTTCTAGAAACACTTAATTTCTGGTTTGACTCCATTCAGAGTTACTAAATTGGTAATACTACTGATACCAGCTTGGAAAAGAGGCTTTGGTTTCAGAAAAATGGTTCTTAAATGGTGATGTTGATGCCCCGTGGTCTTGAGGATGAACAGTCTTGCCTGTGAGGCGGCAAGAGGGGCCTGTTTGTCTGTCCCATGCCAAGGTTTCCTCCATGCTGGCATTTATTATCTGCACAATGTTCCTGCAACTCTAGCAGTTAAACACACTGGCACCGGAATTGAAGCAGCAGAAAATCTTTGCTGGGGCTCCGAAAATGATACCCCAAATTATATTGCTTTGGCATGCTGAGTGCTTTGAAAGAAGGAGATTCACAGACCTCAGAAATAAGCCTCAGAACCAAGGTCTCTCTCTGACCTTCTCCTCCCCACCCCCTCCAACTTCCCTTCAGAAGCACAGGGAGGGACTTTGTCTCAAGTTCTCTTATCTGACTGAGGGAAGTTCATCCAGAAGATGTGCAATTGTCTTGGACCCCCTCTCTGGAATCTACATTAACCAGAGATTAACTCATATAGCAGAAGAAACTAAAAGCCCACACCAAGACCCCACTCTTGGAGAGCCTTTTCACGTATTCTTTCAATTATTCTTCTAAAGGCTGTCACCTGAGAGATTTATCTGCATGATAAAATAACCTCTGTTCACAATAGAGTTCTGCCCCTCGCCTTCCCATAACTTGTTGCCACCTCCCCGAGACCCTGTGGAGGAAATTTGTTCCCGGCTATTGTCTGCATTTCCATCCTAATCATCTCCCCTAAACATCATTTACTCTTCTAAAATTGCCTACATCCCTCACTTGCCTCTCCCCTATGCAGAGAGTATTTAAGCTTCAACCATCTGGCCCTTCTTTGAGTCTCATATTTTGTGTGGCTCCTGTGCACATTTGCACATTAATAACAAATTTATTAATCTATTGTCAGTTTATTTCAGCTGACATAAAGATTCAAACCTTCAGATGGGGAGGGAAACATTCCCTTCACTCTTATGCCTTCCAGGGGACCAATACATTAAAAAAAAATTATTCTGTAGGTTTTTTTTTCTTTTGAGACGGAGTCTTGCTCTTGTCACCCAGGCTGGAGTGCAGAGGCACAATCTCGGATCATTGCAACCTCCGCCTCCCGGGTTCAAGCGATTCTCCTGCCTCAGCCTCCCGAGTAGCTGGGACTACAGGTGCCCATCACCATGCCTGGCTAATTTTTGTATTTTTAGTAGAGACGTGGTTTCACCATGTTGGCCAGGCTGGTCTCGAACTCCTGACCTCGTGATCTGCCTGCCTTGGCCTCCCAAAGTGTTGGGATTACAGGCGTGAGCCACTGTGCCTGGCCCTAATATAAGCCCACTGTAGCTCTTAATATTGTTTGCCAGAGCCATGAATTATCTGCCCCCAAAATTAGAGATAATATCTCAGATGGGAAATCAGTGGACGAAGGAGATAGATTAAAAATATATATATTTGGAACTCAGCCATCGCTAAAAACATTTAAGGAGTTAAGAACTAAAGTGGATGGTCTAGCAGCTGCCAAACAATGACCAGCAATTTCACAGCAATGGCCGCACCTTCAGAGAAAGTGCTCAACAGACACTCGTTTTCCCTCGTGACTACTTCAGAGAAGTGAATTTTGAAAATAAACATGAAAAGCAGTGCAATTAAAAAGCAATTAGGTCAGAATCACAAAATGGGCTTCTTTTATTATAGTTATTGTTTTAATTAATCATGAGAAATTGCATAATATACTAGTTTTTGGGGGGAAACTGTTCACGGTTGTCTGGGGGAAAAAAGCAGGCAGGAATTAATATCGCACCTCATTAGAGCTCCTGACATCTAAGTCTTTCCTGACAAGTAGACTGACAGGCTGGTTTTTCTTTCTTTTTTCCAATTTTAAGAATTAGCAGATTGTTAGATTAAGGAAGTGAGAATCTGCAAGACTTCATCTGTAAACAAATTACCAAAGAATGTCCTTCCCAAGAACCCAATCTGTAATGCTAATGAAATAAGGACTCCGCGTTAGGAGGCAGCTATCCTCTGCAATTAGGTCCCACTTAACACAGCGGGAATTGCTGAGACGAGCAGACCTAGGTTGAATGACTTACTGAACATGAGCTTATGCAGCTATAGGAGAATTTAAAAAGAGACATAAGGCAGCATTTTTTCATGCTACATCATAGTAAACGGAACCGATCCAATCATGTCCTATTCTCTCGGTTTCCTTTTCTCTGCAGGAAGCCTCATCTCCCAGGAGCATTTGAAAGTCTCACGGGGCTCTGGAAACGTTTTTCAGAACACGCAGAGCTGCTGCATTCGTATCATTTTATTAAAATTCATCTACATATTCATAAGGCATCCATTTTTGCTGAGAACTGGCATTCAGGAAACTTAAGAGGGATCCCATTTTTTAAGGCAAAGAGAGATAAAAAGTAAAAACTAAGAAATATTTTACATCCCAGAGTTAGAGTGAGTGTGTGTATGTACATGAATTTAGATAATAAGTCCTCACATTGAGCCAAGAAGGTGGGGTCGGCTTGAAACATGTCTTTAAAAAGAAAAAGAATAAATTTTGTATTTAAAGAGCCATATCCCTGCCAACCAGTCTTCACTACTCCAGAACTAGTGAAAGAACACCCAATATAGTAACTCAACAGGGGAGCTGGCTGCCAGGGGCACTTTCATACTTGAGCTTTCTTTGGGAATCGAGTAGAAACTGCAGTTTATTTGAAGTCAGCGGCAGGAACAGTGTGCAGTAAGGTTTGTTCTACCAGACGACGCAGGCTAGAAGCAGTGACTCTGAGAAGAGTGGGCGGGGTTTCGGGCTGACTTTGTGGGCTCAAGTTCACTTGAGTGTCCAAGGCTCTGGTGCTAATGTGATCATTCTGCAAACTTCCTGTTCGGTAAAATGGAGGCTTTAAAAACTGGACATGTAAAGATCTGTTTTAAGAATCCTTTATTTAGCTTTAAATTTCTCTGAGATTAGATGGCTTTCAGTACCTGAACTCTTGGTTAGCTGGAAATGGAAAAAACTGGTGAATCTAAACCACCACATTGTATAGAGAGTCTCTCAGGGTAGAAGAATGACTCTGTCTTTAGGGCAGACGTTATACCTGGGCTTGATCAAGACATTGATGAAATAACCAAACGCAAGCTCTTTGGACTGGGAAGCTCCAGCTTCTGTCCAATAACACAGAAGGCTGTTTCACGGTGTTGGGAGGAACAAAGAAATAGGTTTCCTTCTCTACCCTGGGCAGGCCATGCCCCACCCTCACCCCAGGTGACCTAGTGTTTTTGCAAAGGGCCCTTGGTAACCTTGGTTACTGTGTAATGTGTGACAACTAACATCACTCCTCATCTGTGAAAATGGCCCTGACGATCTTGCCTGATTATTGGGAACACCAAATAAAAACGTGTGAAAAAGGACTCTGAAAACTGTCAAGGTCACTTTAATGAATGCAGGCTTATAATTTGCATTTGGCAGCTGTGTGTCAATGGTGACTGGGAGGTCAGAGTGGAGCTTTCTCTAGCAACTTGGAGAGGCAGCCGATGAGACAGGCTCTGAGACATCTTCCAAGTCCACATGCAGCAGCGGCTCCAAGTAGAGAATACACTGTCAGTTAAAGGGACAAGGGTTCCCAGGCCTGCAAGAAGGGCTCAGGAGATGCAAAGGTGGGAGAAGATGAGGAAACATATTTAAATAAACTCTCTTTAAGAAGGAGAGTTCAAGAACCTCTACAAGGCCCAGAGAGGGGATGTGGCCAACAGTAAGACCACACTTCTTATGAGATAGCCACGAAGACCAAACAGAGGGTCATGGGAAGGAAAAACTCCTAGATGAATATGCACCATCTCCCTGAACTGCCCTTGTAATTCGGATTTTGTAAGGAAAATACTACACAACTTAACTGATTATTAAGTAAGCATTAGTTTATGCCTACACAAAGACAGGATTCTATCACGGAAGAGATGGGGAATAGATACTGTCAAAAATAAAAAAGGAAAGTTATAAACAATGCCAAGCCTCCACAGGCACTTTCTGGGTATCCAGTGCTAAGGGGCATGCTCAGTTCCTCCCTGAAGGAGGCAGGCACTTCCAGTGGAGTCCCTCTAAGGGAGTTGTGTGTTCTGATTAGGACTGGAGTCCTGTGTAGGAGCAAATCTGCTGGCAATGGGGCTCCGAAATGCTGGTCTCCACAGCAGCTACGTCTAACTGCGTGTCTATGAGCAGGCATTTGGGCTGTGGCTCAGGTTCCCGTGGAAAAACTCCAGGACAAACAACACGAGGATCATGCAAGGTCGTGGTATTTCCAAGGTCCTGATTACTGTGCTATGTATTTACAAATTATCATACTGGCAGTCTGGATACATTCGATTTGTAAATTGAGTTTGAGTCTGCCCCTGAGATACAAACCTAGTTTTCATCTGCAGGCAAAAAACTAAGAAAAAAAAAAAGTTTCTGGGTTTGCAAAGCTGAGGGGCAAGTCTTAGACTGCAACAAATTTACCAAGGCAATGAGCCTCCTGTGGCCTCTTGGCAGCAACTGACATCACTGTGTGTTTATGTGAGTGAAATATTTCACGCATAAAGTTTAGAGATATTATAGAAGCATCCATGTACCACTCTGCTTGCCAAGTCTTAATATCTTGCAATACTGGCCTTTGATTAAAAAAATTTTAAATAAAATGACACATGACAGGATGACAGGGAATAATTACAGCCCTTACCTCAATCCTCATCTTCCCCAGGGGCAATCACTATCTTGAATTTGGTGCTTCATTGTTACTATGTGTATTTTAAATAAACTACCCATGTATGTATTCATAAATTATACCAAGCATTTTTCTGCACCTATTCGAAGTTTGCAGGGATGGCACTGTGCTGTGACTTGGTGTTTTCACTTTTTGGGAGGTGCATCTGTTCTGACACACACAGCTCTGTTTCATTCACCCTCACTGCTACACTGCTTTCCATTGTAGGGAGGAACACACCACACGTCATCCCTTTTCTGCTGATTATCAATTCTCTCCATTAGAAACAACGCTGCAGTGGACACTGTCTTTTTACACAGCAGAGAAAGTTTCTCTGCATTATTTACCCACAAGTAGGACTACTGGTCATACATTATGAACCTCTTCAACTTGACCTGACATAGCCAACTTAATCTCAAGTGGCTGGACCTAGTGTCACTCCTGCCCGGACCTGCATGAGATCATCCTGCTCTGTATTCTCACCATCCCTAGGTATCACCATGTTTTAAAATTTTGCCAACCAGATTGGTATGAAGTAGTCATCATTTTAACTTTCATGTACCTGAT
This sequence comes from Homo sapiens, assembly GCF_000001405.40. Classification (NCBI taxonomy): domain Eukaryota; kingdom Metazoa; phylum Chordata; class Mammalia; order Primates; family Hominidae; genus Homo; species Homo sapiens. Next base: position 230,229,356 of record NC_000001.11, on the reverse strand, counting down.
TACTAGAGAGGCCACATATCATCTTATATGCTTAGGAGCTGACTGGATGGTTTCTGCTGTTAACTGTTTATTCATGTTCTTTGTCCATTTTTTGATTAGGTTTTACCTACTATTTGGCTGTAGGAATTTATATGCTCTGGACATTATCCTTTGTCAGCCAGAAGCATTGCAAAAATCTCTGTGGCAGATGCTTTAATTTTGTTTATGATGCTTTTTGTCAAACCTACGTTTTAATTTTGAGTTTTCAAACTGTGACCCTGGGGTAACAATGTTCAGGAAAAGCTTTCTTAACCGAAGGTCATTAATATATTGTGAATTTTATTTCAAATGTTTAAACTTTTACAAATGCTTTTAACAGGTTATAACAGGTTATATATCCTTCATAAATATTGAAGGATTATGTATATCCATGTATATCATGGAGAAAATTACAAAACATAAGTGAAGGACATTAAAAAGTGCCCAGTATTATAGAAATATTAGTTTTCTTCAAACTAATCCATAAATTCAGTGAAGTGTCACGCAGGGTTTTTTCATGGAACTTGAAGAGCTTATTCTTAAATTCATCAGGAAAATCAAATGGTCACAAATATCCACTGGAGTCTTGAAGAACAACACATAGTAGGGCAACATGCCCGAGGAGCCATGAAGCGTTACTGCAGAGTCACAGTGATTAAAGCAGCGTGGTATGGGTGCAGGGTTACACACACAGATGACCAGAACAGAAATGGATGTAGACAAGTTCCATGCTATCCTTCATATATAGATGAAGGAGATCCATAATCTCTTTTTTTTTCTGTGTAGATAATCCATTGTCCCCAGCATGATTTAATAGTTCATTATTTCATCACTGATGAGTAACGCCACTGCTGTCACGCCAAACACTTATTTATGTCTACATCCGTTTCTGTTCTGGTCATCTATGTGTGTAACCCCGCACCTGTACCATGCTGCCTTAATGAATGTGGCTCAGCAGTAACTCTTCATGGCCCCTACTAGGCGAAGATCTTCAAGATGCCAGTGGATATTTGTGACCATTTGCTTTTCCTGATGAATTTAAGAATCAGCTCTTCAAGTTCCATGAAAAAACCCTGCATGACACTGCACTGAATTTATGAGTTAATTTGAAGGAAATTAATATTTCTACAATACTGGATATTTTAAAATATCCTTCAGTTATGTTTTACAATTTTCTCCATGAAAGTCTTGCACATCTTTGGTTGCATTTATTCCTCCATATCTGACAGTTCTGCTTGCTACAGTGAAAGGAGTCTCTTTTCCTATTACATTTTTGAATTGGCCGTTACTGATACCGGTTTTTGTATGTGGACTCTGTATTCAACACCTCACTGTGCTCTCTTATTTGTTCTGATAGTCAGTTTGCAGGTTCTCTTAGATTTTCCACAAATCAATACATCTACATTCTGTCCCTGTCTTTCCATTCGTTACACATCTTGCAATTCTTAAGATGGCAGTGATTATGGCCTGCAACACAATATACAATTTTTAAAAGTGGTAAAAAACAACCTTGCCTTGATCCTATCTTTAAATTGAACACAAGCAGATTTTTATCATTAAGCTTTGTGTTTGCCATAGATGTTTTACAGATGCCTTTCATCAGGTGAAGGAAACTCCCTCACAAGTGCTGAATTTCACTGCTTTCCCTCCTGCATCCATTAATATGACCTACAGCTATTCTCCTTTAATTCACTGAGAAGATATATTACATTATTTTCTGATATTCAATCATTTTTACATTCCTAAAACAAACTCTTCTTGTATATATATATATATGGCTGTATTATATAGCATATATATATATAGCTGTATTATATAGCATATATAGCTGTATTATATAGCATATATAGCTATATTATATAGCATATATATATATAGCTGTATTATATAGCATATATATATATAGCTGTATTAGATTTGCTAGTATTTGGTTTAGGATTTTCTGAGTCTATAACCATAAATTGAACAATTTGCTGTTCTTATACTTTCTTTTTCTGGTTTCATAGCTAGATACTACTGAAGGAAATAGGGTAGCTTTCCTCCTTTTCTATTCTCTGAAACAGTCTGGGTTTTACGCAAACCCATTTGAGCTTTGTGAAATTTTGGGAAGGCAAATTTTTTATTGCTGAAAATTTCTTTTGATGGTTTGCACTTATTCATTTTTTTATTTCTTAAGAGACTTTGGTAACTTAAATATCCCTAGAAAATTATCAATTTCATGTAAGTTTCAAATTTATTTACATAAAAGTATACTTTTAATTTTCTTATGATCTTAGTTATATCTGCTTTTTTACACCTAATATTAATGTTTCTTCTCTATTTTTGTTAATCAGCATTTTTAGAGATTTATATTTTTTAAAGATGAAGCTTTATATATACTCTCCACTGGATTTTTAGTTCATTAATTTCTTCTTTTACCTTCCTTATTTCCTTCCTTCTGCTTTCTTTAGGTTTACACCCTGCAGTTTTTTCCACCTTCTTCAGTCACAGAGTGATTGATTTCAGCTACCCTACATAAGGAAAAATGGTTAAAAATCCAAGCAAATTCTACAGCTGGAGAAACACAGGCAGTTTTCTCAACCATGAGATGGGTGAGTGAAATGGGGAGGGGGAGAAATGTCCGCGGGTGCGATGACTGGCTCCCCTAACTTTGGGAGAGAGTGGCGAGGCCCCTGCCTCTGAGCCAGGTCAAGGCACCTGCCTCCGCATGTGTTCGGAAAGATGGAGCAGCCCAGGGAGCCCTGCAGCCACGTGGACCTTTCCTTCTCCAGCCAACACAGCACCTGAAAGTCTGCGAGTCTCCATGTGCACCCATCAGCCAGGTGAGATGAGCCGAGAGAGCCTGTGGGGGCGTTAAATTAGCCAGCAGGGCCAGAAGTTTGAAAAATCAAAGGAACATATTAAAATACAGTCTGTTGCTTGCTAGCCCATTTCTCCATTCATATACAGATATTCGGTGGCAGGGGGAGGGTGTTAGCACCTCAGGATGCTGGAATCAAGGCTCTGGACACAGCTGGTGATGCAATAGAGGCGGTGAATGCCTTCTGTTTCCTTGCCCTCATCCACAGAAAATGCTTACGCCATTCCCATTTCAAGGGAAAGAAAAGGGCAGGAAGGTCTGTTGTTTCACTGACCATCCTGGCAGCCTGATGCAGCTGCCCATGGACACAGAATGGACACAGAATGTCCATATATGCCTCTGCTGTGAAGGTGGGGCTCCAGCCAGGCTAGAGCCAACCGCAGGCTGGGCGCATGCTCCTCATTCAGGACTCTGATTTGCTTCTGCGGTAAGGGCAGTTGCTTTAAGGCCACAGACTTCTGATTATCACAAAGCTCTGACAGTTTAGTGAGCATAAGACTCATTCATGGAGCTTATGAAAATGAACATGCCTAGGCCCTGACTGCTTCTCCCATCCCATTCTGAATAAGTAGGTCTGGGTGATACCTGGGAATCTGAATTCGAAAAGGCCCCTGAAGGCAAGGCTTATACAGGTTGCTCTTAGACTTCATTTTAAGAAACACACAGAAAAGTGAGAGGTGTTATTAGTGAAACAGTTCTCTAATGTGGAGCCATAATTAGACTCATCTGGATAACTTGAATTTAGACCTGGAACTCTGGTATGGACCATATAGCACAGAGGTTAAAAAAAAAAAAACAAAAAAACTCTGCCTCCTCCAGATTTTGATTTCCCATTCCTCCTCTCTACCACAATCTGACCCCCTGTGGTCACCATACATGAAGTGGCCCAGCCCACGCTGTGTTCCTCAAAGTCTACCATGACTATGAAGCCTAACACAGAGAGAGTCAAGCCTAAGCCACTGGGAATAAGGCCCAACATGACCAGGCTGAAAAGATCTAGCCCAAGCTGGAGACTGGATCCACCACAAGGCAGAAGGGGCCACGGGAAACAGGCCCTCCTCAGTCCAACCCCAAACTGGGCTGCGGATGCATCTCTCAACCTCAGGGCACTTCCACTAGGGCCCATCCCAAACAAGATGTTCAGCTTCACATTTTCAAGATGTGTTGCTATGGTGTCTACAGAAAGTCTAGGCAGGCTACTGGATAGAATGTAAACTGGAAATGGAAGCCAAAAAAAGGAAAATGGAAAAAAGTTCATTAGCTGTTGTATAATGTTCATTTAATTAAAACATACCCTTAATAATCCTCCAAACAGTCATAATGGCATAATATTCCACCAAATCCACTAATTTCTGATTAGTCCTAATAGCTACAGAGTTTATTTCTATAGAGGTCTTTCAAAACTAAACAGAACCAAATCCTAAGACATTAAAAAACCTCTGCAGGACCTCTGTGAAATCAAGCTTCTTAAAAATCTGGTCAACAGGAGATTTGAATTAGCTCAATTAATAACTTTAGGTTTGTCTCACTTCGAAATTATTCGTCTAAAATAGCTTTCTTGAATACCGCAGGCTTCTGCATTCTGCAACGTATAGGAGTCGGAAGCATGTTCTAAAACAAAATGTTTATCCTCCCTGTGACACAGGAAACTCAAGCCTATCGTATTTACTGTACTCCCTTTGAAGTCCTCTAATCTCATTGAAAAGCCAAGGGTTCCAGAGGCAAAAAACATGCACACACACTCAGGCCAAGCGGAGAATCCAAAAACACACTCTTCGCTCACCAAACACTCCACGCTTCGGCACCGGCCACAGAAAATGCTGCCCAGAATACGTGAGTATTCTCCAACAGAAGGGGAAAAACATTAGGTTTCCCCTTGAAGCTTTCAGCAAGCCACTGTTTGATGGAATAAAAATGTTTTTTCATTCAAAGAGCACCATTTGCCCTTTAGTGCCTCCAGTTTTACAGACACTACATTTTAGCTGAAAACTTTTCAAGAGTCAAGAGCTATTGAAAGTTGAGAAAATAACAGCCCTGGATGAAGCCGTCTGAACTCTCTCGTCATGCCCTCCGAGGGCTGCACTTCAGCTGCCAGGTCCCACTCACCATTTAAGGCTAGAGTCATTTCAGAGAGACTAAATTATTATTGTCCTTTAAACTTTCATTCCTCCCGATGCCAGGGGACAAGCTGCCTTTTCTGGATGGAAGCTCACACTGCTCATCAGACAATGTGAACACTGCACATTCCATTTCTTCCCTCTTGCTACTCCCCTGGGACAAGTGGCACCCTTGGTCCTGCTAGAGTAACTCCAGTAACTCCCTCTGCCTCCTGGTGCCCACCATCGTCCTCTTGGATACGTGAGTTCTGGTTTCCAAGCTGAGGGTTTAGTTTTTACTTCCATTGTTCCATGAAGAGATGTGCTTTCATTTTTATCTGCTCTGCCTGTCTCAAAGTGGTGAATCCTTTAGAGCACCCTTCTTAGAGGTTATTCAGGCAGTTGGTTTTCTTTCCTACCCTACTCTTGCAGTTCTCCCCACAAAAGCTGGGCCAGATAATGGAGTCTGTGGGACCCCTGAGCAGTTCTGATTGTCCCAAGTGGACAGGAGAAAAGCTTAAGTTCTGTGGAGGGTGACATTTTAGGACACCACTCTTTTCAGATACACTGAATTGCTCTGTTTTGGCCTGTGGTTAAAAAGACGAACTTTTCGGCTAGGCACAGTGGCTCACGCCTACAATCCCAGCACTTTGGGAGGCCGAGGCAGGAGGATCACCTGAGGTCAGGAGTTCAAGACCAGCCTGGCCAATATGGCGAAACCCTGTCTCTACTAAAAATACAAAAATTTACCCGGTGTGATGGCGGGTGCCTGTAGTCCCAGCTACTCGGGAGGCTGAGGCAGGAGAGAATCGCTTGAACCTGGGAGGCGGAGGCTGCAGTAAGCCGAGATCACACCACTGTACTCCAGCCTGGGTGACAGAGTAAGACTCCATCTCAAAAAAAGTAAATGAATAAAATTAAAAAAAAAATGGCTAAGAGTCTATTAAACTTTAGACCATCAGGTTGGCTTAAAAATCAAAATATATGTGTTACAAAAGATAAACCTAAGACAAAATGGCATCCAAAAAAGAAAAAAAATCAGTAAGATACAAAAATGTATCAAGAGTAAGTGAAATAAAGTAGGAGATTAACATTTATGCAAAGCAAAATGTATGGCAAAAAAGGAAAACTTGTTCAAGGACAGCCTGGGCAACACAGTGAGAGCCCATCTCTATTAAAAAAAAAAAAAAAGAAAAGAAAAACAAATAAAGTGGGGTAATTTTATGTCAATAAGGGTATAATCCATGAATATATATCTTCTAAGCCCCTCATGCTTAGAAATAAGCAGAAACTCCTAGCACTGTAATGTTGAGTTTCAAATGCTTTTATCAATAACAAAGGTTTTGAATGTAATCGATCAGGTTGGTTGAACATGTATATTTGAATTTGGAAATGAGTATAGATGTTACTAGCTTTTAAAAAATACCCATCAAATATTCATAGAAATGAGAAGTAAAGATTGCAGCCTCTGGGGGCAGGCTGTTGTTTAGACCTCACCACAGCCTGGTTAATGGGGCAAGTTCTGTTTCTCTAACTATCAAATCTTAGTAACAATAACAACAGTACCTATGCCTCATAGGGTTGCTGTGAGAATTAAATGAGTAATGTGTGTAAATTGCTTAGCATAGCACCTGGAACGAAAATCTCAATTAAAGGTAGCTACATCTCATGCCCAAAGTAAAACCCTCCATATATGCAAAATAGTAAAATTATAAAGTTGTAATGTCTGACTCCACAGCAATAAAGTCAGGAGAAAAAAATCTCCAATGACCTAAGTTTAAAAAGATAAAAAGAAAAAAAAATCAGTTTCTTACGATTTTGAAACTCTTTCCTAAATAAGCAACGTACCAAAAAAGAAACCAAAAACAGAATTCCAGAGTGGTGAGAAATAATAATAGCGGTCATTTACAAGTAGGTTTAAAAATAACCAAAATTATCACACTATATTTCGTATTATGAGACTCAGCCAAAGCTGCACTCAGAAACCAATTAAGTAGACATAAAGTAAACATTCAACATTCAACTCTCATGGGGCAGGGGGAGTGCAGAGGAAAGCAGAGGCAACAGGCAGACATGAATGCATTAAAGAGAAAAGCAGGGAGGCCGAGGCGGGCGGATCACGAGGTCAGGAGATCGAGACCATTCTGGCTAACATGGTGAAACCCCGTCTCTACTAAAAATACAAAAAATTAGCCGGGCGTGGTGGTGGACGCCTGTAGTCCCAGCTACTCAGGAGGCTGAGACAGGAGAATGGCGTGAACCCGGCAGGCAGAGCTTGCAGTGAGCTGAGATCGCACCACTGCACTCCAGCCTGGGTGACAGAGCAAGACTCTGTCTCAAAAAAAAAAAAAGAGAAAAGCAGTGAAATGTATATAAAATCCCAGCACTTGATGTCAAGGATGAAAAGAAGACAGAAGTAAGGAGGAGAAACCAGAGACACATCACTGGCATTTTTAAAGAAGAAAAAAATGAAAAGTTTATAATTAATAAAGATTTAAGTGCATATACATATAACACTATGCCAATAAATTTGAAAATCCAAGGGAAATTTATTCTTCTGGGAAGATATAAATCAAATTAATTCAAGTAAAGCATAGAAAAACTGAACACATGTCAATATTCATGGAAGAATTTTAAAAGGTTATCAAAGGATTACTGTAATGAAAATAAAAATAGCTCTAAGTTTAGATGACTTTGAAAGGTGAGCTCCAAGAAACAAATAACTCCTTTACAAATCAGTTTTTCTGAAGCATCTAAAGAAATTTAGGAATTTGTTCTAAATTCATTTTACAAAGTTAACATAATCTTGAAGCCAAAGCTAGATGAAGGAAGGAAGACGGGAGAGAGGAGGAAAAGAAGGCAGGCAGGCTGGCTGGCCACAGACACTTTCAGCTATGAATCTTCATTCAAAACCTAAAATAAAGCAGTAGCCAAACTCAGCAATATATTGAGTAAATTCTGGTACATTTTCAGAACCAAATAACACACTGTCATCTCAAATAGCATCTCCTTTTAAATGAGTAAGCAAGGAGGTTATTCGAAAATATTCATCCCAACGTTAGCATTAAAAAGGAAAAGAATCTAGCAGTCCATTACCAGAGAGCTAGCTAAATAAACATAAAATGGGATATATACAGCTTTTATAAGGGAAAGTTATATATTTAACAGTCCTAGAAAATATTTCCTATGTATTACTGAATGAAAAAAAAGTAGGCAGGCAAACAGCAAATACAGTGTCATTTTACTGTCATTGTATTTATAGAAAATGACATACATCGAACATCAGAGGGTATGAGACAAATTAGGAAGGATGTTCACCAGAGACAATGTGAAGCTTTCAGACTTTTCTTCCTGTGTGCAACAAACACGTATCTACTTTTAAAAAGCTTTTTCTTTAAAGAAAAAACCAGTTTTGAGTAATTCGGTGTATTTAAAGAAAGGAGAACTTGGGGAGTTCATGATACAAGCTTGCTAACAGCCCACTGCGTAGACCATTAGTATCTAGGTGAAACACAGACCAATTCAGAGATTTTAGCTAATATTTGGCCAAGATAAGGTTTGCCAACAATAGAAGGCAGATCATTAGCATCACCGTCACATCATACCATGATTTCCTTAGGGCGGGTCTGATTAAGCCCAAGAATGGACCAACCCTAACAAAAGTACCTTCGTTTGATGGCACCACCATGCGCTGGCCTCCAGGGGATGCCTCTTTGCAGACAGGATTCTACAGTCAACTGGGTTAACTGAGTGATTCCATAAAAGCAGCTACCGAGAGAGATCTAGTTCAGCCCACCCAGCACGTGGTGACAGTGAGGGAGTGGCAAAGCCTACCAGGAGCTACGCTGGGTGCTAACCAATCTCAAGGGCAACCTGTGCACCAGAGGCCCTGCAGGATATCAAGCTGAAGACCATCCCGGGAGTTTCAACTCCCTTTATGCCCTGCTCCCCTCATCTACAGCATAGCAACCCAAAAGTAGGCTCTGGTGCCTCCGGAGTGGGCTGTTTATCATGTGGCAGCAGAATCAATGGTATTCTTCTTTATTTACCTAGCGAGGGTCCATAATTCCTAATCTTTGATTCCAACATTAAAAAAAAAAACAAAAACACCTTGGAAAAAAATCTGTATCATATTTGGTGGCAAAGCCTGCCATGATCTGAATTATGTGGCAGTAAAACCTGACCTGATGACTGTTCTCCTGATTTATCCCACTTGGTATGCATATTCATGTTCTGCTGCAAAAACATTAGTGTGTTTGAGTACAAGGTACTGTCTCAAGATTAAAAACATTATTTCACAAATTGTGTATATGTCATTAATAGCTCTCTAGATATTTTTTTAACAATCTGAATTCCCTAAGAATTTAAGTGAGGAATTAGAGAACTGTCTAATTACAGATAGTCTCTGTCCCAAAGCAACTTACGAAATACCTGGAGAAATCATGCACAGCTACAAAACAAGAAAGCCCAGGCACAGAGGCTCTGGTTGGGGGTGGCAAGGTCTCAAGCAAGGGCAGCAATCCCATGGCAGGGGGCCAGTCAGAAGCAGTTCTTTGGAAGAATCTAGGCAAATTGTGTTTTAAGGGACACACCCATTTAGAAAGGTTTAGAAGGGCAGTGGAGAATACCATGAATGAAGACAGCCACAAGCACTTTGCAAAGAATGCCCCCACATCTGGAATGCATCCACGTCAGAAGTCTCAAGAAAGGTAAGTGGGTGGCGGAGGCAGGACCGGCTACTGCAGGCCATCTATGCAGGGCCCAGGAGGGGGATCCAGGTGTCCTCACCATAGGTTAGTTCTTGTGTGGGAGGGGCATGCAGAATACAAGCCTGGGAGAGGTACTGAGAGATCTGAGTAGGCAGGTCCAGTGACTCAGAAGGGAGGACAAGGGACTGGACCAAGAGTGGCAATGAGAGGAAGGGGTTAATTTGAGAGGGATGCCAGAACAGAAAGCCACCAAGGCCACTTGGGCAGCTCATGGTCCCACGCGCCAGTACACGTTGGCCAAGCAGAATTAGGCAACCAGGGCATTGCTTTATTCTAGCCCAGAGCAACATACGGGGAATTTTCCAACTTCAACAGGTGACACTTATATGTGAATATCAAGAACAAGTACCTTGGCCTTTGCACTTAAAGAATTACCAAGAATAAAAAAGATTTGGTTTAAAGGGCCATGGCAAAGATGCCAGAGGAAATTCAATCATCATCATAAAGAAGAGGCAACAGATAACAAACCCAGTGTCCCTTAAGCCAGCGGTCCCCAACCTTTTTGGCACCAAGGAACAGTTTCATGGAAGACAATTTTTCTACAGATGGTGGAGAGGGGAGATGGTTTGGGATGAAACTGTTCCACCTCAGATCATCAGGCATTAGATTCTAATAAGGAGCACACAACCCAGATCCCTTGCATGTGCAGTTCACAATAGGGTTCGTGCTCCTATGAGAATCTAATGCCCATGCTGATCTGACAGGAGGCGGAGCTCAGGCGGTAATGTTTGCTCATCCACTGCTCACGTCCTGCTGCGTGGCCTGGTTCCTAACAGGCCATGTGTCACCACTGGTCCACGGCTTAGGGGTTGGGGACTCCTGCTTTAAGCCTATTTTGGTAACCAGAAATACCTCCACATTTAAAAATACACATTCAGGGATAGATAACAAAGTGATTTTAAAACCATCCATAAACATTGACAATCTCAACTGTGTAACTTCTCCCCAGGCTTGCCTCCTGAATTCCAGATTTTTGTATATCTTCATCCACCTACTGGACAGTTCCACTTGGATGAAAACTTCCCTCCTAATCTTTCCAGCAATGCTTCCTGAATAGCAGCTAGTATTCGTTTAGTACTGACTATGTGCCAGCCACTGTGCTAAGTCACTTACAGGTGTTAACCCATTTAGTCCTCACACGGCAGCCCATAAGATGAGTATTATCATCACCCTTAACTTATATCACGAAGGAGCTAACTGACACGCCAAGATCGTGCAGCTGCTAAAGGGATAACTGGGATTCCAACATGGGAGACCTGGTGCCAGCATCCACACCTTAACCAGGAGGTTGTACTGCTCCCTGCTCAGCAAAGGACAAGTCCATTCTTCAAGTTGCTTGGTTAAGAAACTCAGTGGCATCCTTCAGCCCTCTCTTCTTCACATTCCACATCCGATTCAGCATATCTTGTCATCTCTACCTTCCAAAGGCATCCAGAATCCAACCACCTCTCACCACCTCCATTGTTAGTCCCCTGTTCTTAGCCACTGTCATCTTGGCTGGATCACGGCAACAGGTTTCTCTGCTTCTGGCCTTGTATTTCCCACCCCACCCCCAGTAAACCTGGTCTTATCACAGCAACCTTTTAAAAAACTGACCCTTTAGAGGCCTAATTCAGGTCATGCTGTTCCTCTGCTCCCAAACCTACAATGGCTTCCATCTCACTCAATGGCTGCTACAGTTTGAATGAGTCTCTTCCAAAATTCAGGTGTTGCAACTTAACAGCCAATGTAGTGGTGACAGAACCTTTAAGAGGTGATTAGATAATGAGGGCTTTTCCTTTGTGAAAGGAATGAAGACCCTTTAAAAGGGCTTAATGAAGGGAGTTTGTCCCTTTTTTGCCTTTCTGCCTTCTGCCATGTGAGGATACAGCATTTGTCCCCTCTGGAAGATCCACTGTTCTTGGCGCCATCTTGAAAGCAGAAACCAGATTCTCACCAGACAATGTGAGCCCTGCCAGCTTAAAGATCTTGGACTTCCCAACCTCCATACTATAAGAAGTAAACTTCTGTTCTTTGTAAGTTACCCAGTCTCAGGTATTTTGTTATAGCAGCACAAAACGGACTATGACAGAGACAAAGCCAATGCCCTTACCATGCGCCTCCAGGCTCCTAGGGCTTGGTGCCTTGACTCCTCTCAGACCTCACCTCTTTCTACTCTTCCTCATGGCCACCTGCCTAGCGACTCTGGCTTCCTGCTGTCCTTTAGATAGGCCTGGCACACTACCTCTTTGGGGCCTTTGCCCTTGCCACCTCCCCTGATGAGAACTCTCTTCCCAGTTATTCAAACGCACACTCCCTCGTCCCTTCCCTCAGGTCTTTGCCTAAACACCTTCCTGTCAGTGAGATCTTCCCTGATCACCTGTTTAGTACTAAAACCCTTGACTCTTTCACACTCCTAACCTCCACCGCTTTTTTTTTCTCTTCTGTATTTAACATGCTTTTTAAAAACCACATAATTAATGATTTATTTTATTGTTTTCTCCCCCATCCTCTTAATGTGAGCTCTATGACGGCAGAGTTTTTTTTTAATGTTTTGTTCACAGCTGTTTCCCCAGTGACCAGAAAAACACCTGTCATGTAGTTAGCACTCAAATCTTTGCTAAATAAATGCATAAATCCAAGAATAAAAATAAATCTTCAGTGAATATAAAACTTTAAATCCAAGTACAATATTCCTATTGGGATATTTCCTTTTTTAAATAACTTGAATTTCCAAAGAGGTGTGGATTTTCTCACATTATTGTCAGATGAAGAAAATCATGGCTTATTCAATATAGTTAAGATAGTCGTTACTATAAAAGTCTGAACTTTAAATTTTACAGATGGCAGTGGAGATTATGGGCCCTCATAGGTTCTACCATTAACATTTAACAACTCCAGAGTACAGGCCAGGCATGGTGGCTCATGCCTGTAAACCCAGCACTTTGGGAGGTAAAGGCAAGAGGATCACTTGAGGTCAGGGGTTTGAGGCCAGTGTGGGCAACATAGCAACACCCCATCTCTACTAAACAATTTTTTAAATCAGCTGAGTACAGTGGCGCACACCTGTAGTCTTAGCTACTCAGGGGGATGGCTTGAGCCCAGGAGTTTGTTACGGTGAGCTATGATCACATCTCTGTACTCCAGCTTGGGCAACGGGGTGAGACAACTCCAAAGTATATGTGAATTGTCAGTTACACCAGTGAACAGATCGGTGTTTTGACTTAATAATGAATGTACCATAAACTGACAATGCTGCTTCTTTTAAGTTCATTAGAAACATCACAAGTAATCTCCGAAACCATATTCAAGTGAAATACGTAGCCTAAATGACAAAAAAAGTTAAAATAAATTTTACAGTATTTTGACTGTTTCCTAAAATATACAAAACCCTTCCACTGAAAAAGAAAGTTGTTCTTTCAGTTTCATGGTTCCACGACGGGGGGCAAAGTGATGGGTTTTAAATGGATAGTTGAAGTAGGACAGTTTGTTAGGACTCGAAGATTGATCTCATTTATCAAGCAAAACTCTGTTGACTCCATTTTTCCTGGTCTAATTTCTTTCTGAAATAGGTAGGATCACTGCTTCACAGCTATTTCCACAACTGTTTTTGGTTCTATGATAAAACAATCCAATACCATCTCAGTGTGACAGAGGCATTCACATACTGGAAGCTGAAAGTCTGCCAGCCATGTCACACACATTTTGAGAGCAAAGTGTAACAAAATAACAGTTCATTCTTTACTTAAAGCTGATATATATACAAGCCACTAGTCACTATATTAATGTCCTGAATTTGTGTAATTAATGTATGTAGTTTATGTGTACATCTGAGCCTAATAAAAATGCTGTAAGACAGGCCAGGCAAGCATGATTATTGTTTTACAGATAAGAAACCCAGGGTTTACAGAGATTATTTTAACCTCAGTCTGGGAGCTAACAGCTGGTTGAGCTATTAATAAAAGCAACACATCCCAACTTCAAGCCTGTATTTCCATTTACTCTCCTTCGAGATAGACATTATTGCTCAGGGCAAAATTTATAAACTGCCAAATTCAGAGTGGATTTGAATTCCAAATAAAACACTCAGGTGTTTTTCCTGCTTCCAGTGACAGTAAAGTTCCTTGCTGTAGACCAACCTACTCACTAAAAGCAACCAGAAATTCGGGATGAAATACACTGAAGAATCTATTTGAAGGCACTAGAGAGCTAGCAAAGCAGCCAGGTGTGAGGTCAGGTTTCCAGAAAGGAGAAGCACCTAGAGAGGAAGGCCAACATTCTCTGATCCTCTTCCCCTCAAACGGCATAGAGCCAAACGGCCGACTGAGCCGAGCAGAAGCGATGGTCTTGTAGGTGCAGAGCCAAGTGAAAGCTTCTGGAGGTGCTGTGGAGCTGTGGAGGCCAGAAATGGACTTCAGGGCTTGCTGAGGAAACTGGGCTCTGATACATATCCCAGACTTCCAGGTCGAATCCCACAGGGCTACTTCCTAGTGGCAAAAGAGAACTGGAAACTCACCAGCTCTCTCACAAAAGACCGAAACCCAGCTTTATACCAGCTCAATTCCAGACTTGATTAAGGTGACCTGCCCTATTTTAACTGCCTGCCAGAGAACAAAACTAAATCCTCTTTGGAGGAAAAAGTCAGTGAGAGCCCTGAAATATCTCGGTATTTATTCATACACAACAAAACACAATCACTGAAATGAAGAATTCAGCAGTGGATTTAAAAGCAGACTAGACAGAGCAGAGGAAAGGATCAATGAACAGGAAGCAGGCCAACAGAAATATATCCAGACTGAGACACAGGGAATCAAAAAGAATAAAAAGTACAGAAAAGAGCTTATGAGGGACAGAGGAAACGCAGAATTATCTAACAAAGATGAAATTAGGGTCTCAGAGGAAGAGGAGACAGAACTGCAGCATGGCAAAACTGACAAGGCATGAAGCTCAAGAGTCAGGAAATTCCACAAATCCCAAACAGGTTCAGCACAAGGAAAACAACTGCTAGGCATATTATGGCAAAATTGCTGAAAAAAAGAAATATCTGAAAAGGCAGCTGGAAGGAAAAGTCAAATGTCTTCAAAAAGAACAAGACTAACGGTAGACATTTCGCCAGAAACAACAAAAAACAGAAGACAACTGAAAGACAACGTAAAGGTGCTGACAGTCACTGTCAACCCAGAATTTCACAGTCAGTGAAAAGACTCTTCAAAAACAAAAGTAAGCCGGGCGTGGTGGCTCACACCTGTAATCCCAGCACTTTGGGAGGCTGGGGTGGGCAGATGGCTTGAGGTCAGGAGTTCAAGACCGGCCTGGCCAACATGGTGAAGCCTAGTCTCTACTAAAAATACAAAATTGGCCAGGTATGGTGGTGGGTGCCTGTAATCCCAGTTACTTGGGAAGCTGAGGCAGGAGAATCACTTGAACTGGGGAGGCGGAGGTTGCAGTGAGCTTAGATCACACCACTGCACTCCAGCCTGGGCAACATGAGCGAGACTCCGTCTCAAAAAAAAAAAAAAGTAAAGTTAAGATGTTTTCAGACAAACAAAAGGATACAATTCATTGCCAACATACTGGGACTAATAGAAATACTAATGAAATACAGAAGGAATATGGTCTTAGGTAGAAAAATAGAAATATAAGAAATGAGGAGCAATGGGAATATAAATATGTGAATAAATCAAAAGGATATTTACTGCATAAAACAATAAAAGATATCCTATAGAGTTTATAAAGAAAGAATTAAGCTAAATGACAACAAGAGCACAAAGGGCTGAAGGTAAGTGGAAGGTAAATTATTAGAAGGTCTGTGCATTGTCTAAGAAGTAATAAAATTATTCATTTACATTAGGCTCTACATGTGGACTTACTAGTCAAGAATTTAGCAAACCAACAGAGAAGAAAAAACGTAGGAGGATGCAAGGGAAAAAGAAACACAAAGCAGGTGGAACTAAGAGAACACAACCAGTGAGATGTTGGTGTTAAACCCCAATAAACTAGTACTTACATTAAATGTAAAAGAACTAAATACACCATATAAAAGATAAAGATTGTCACAGCAGATGAAAGTCCAAAATCCAACTATAGGCTACTTACAGAAGATACACTTTAAATATAAGGACATAAAAAGTTTGAAAGTGAAAGCATGGGAAAATGTATACCATGCAAAAACATGAAACCAAAGAAAGATGGTGCAGCTCTACTGATATTGTAAAACAAGAAGCATTACCACTGACAAGAAGTGCATTTCATAATGATAAAAGGGCCAGTCTACTAAGAAAATAACAGAAACTCACAAACAGGTCTAAAATAGAAAGAACAGAGCTCTGTTGTAAATGGTCTAGAGGTGGTTAGGTTATCCTTACTAGGCTACGTAATTGCCTGTTTCCTTGTCTGCCTCTCCGGGAAGACTACAGTTTCTTGACAACAAAGACGATCCTCATGGTCATCACTGCATTCCCAGGATGATGGCAGAAAGAAAAGACTAAAGAGTAAAGAAAGCAAATCACACAACTCATTTAGCATCATTGTGCTTTTGCCCAAACCATAACCCAGAGTTACAGATGGGGAAACTGAGCCACACATGTGGGCAGCCACTCAGGGGTTAAGCTTTGAGAATACGTTTGCTAATGATCTTTGAAAAGGAGACTTGAAACGGGCCCTTCAGAGATGCCAACATCGACACAAACGAAATCTCTACAGTCAAATCAATACAGTCTACTTATACCAGTCTCAATGCATTCTTTAATTCAGACAGAGAGAAGGCCTGAAATAGACCAAAAAAAAAGAGGAAACATATCAAGGGAAGAAAAAGAACGGTCTGTGGTTGAAACCAGAAGTTGGTTTTATAAAGACACAAAAAATAAAAACAAAACATAAACAAGCACGCTGATGAATAATGACATGGCTTTGGTGTGAACTGTGCATATCAGATGCAAGTTACAACCTGGGATGAGTTGGTGGGGGACCCGTTAAGCAAGGAGCCATTATTGCTGGCCACTTCCCACTCCCCACATCTCGTATATCTCGCTGAGCCTGCCAGCACCCTTCCAACAGCAGGCAGAGATGTCACACTGACAGGCAGAGATGTCACACTGACTGAACACACAAGCAGTCTCACTTCCTGAACGGCATCAGCAATGTTCCAAGGGAACAGAAATAGAGTGCACTCTTCCAATACATTTTCTTCGAGAATCTGAAGCTGGAAAAAGAAAAACAACCCCATTTCTTCTCCATTTCTCAGCATCCCATCAACGTGTGGCCAGCTTCCCTTAGGAGGTTGTTTGGCTGCAAGTTACCAACACCCATCTCTTCCATTTTTTAGGTGCATTCAGGCCTCATGCCAAGACTCATGCCTAAAAGCCGGGAGTATGAAAGACCCTCTGAAGAGCGGACAGTAAGGGAGCCACAACTGTTAGACAGAACCCTGAGCCCAGGATACAGAGTGCTCCAATTCCTCCACCAGTGAGCCCTGTTAGAACTCAGGCAAGTGGCTCACCTTTCTCGTCTGCCTCATAGACAAGTGATAAAACTTCATGGCTTAGTAACTGTAAAATCCCTGGGGACTAAGGCTCTCTAGATACAAGGTGGTGCCTTATGAGGCCCCGGGATATCCTAGCTGCCTGCCTCTCCCCAAACATGTTCCAACCGACAATGTGAAAAATGAGAAAAACAACCTCTGCTCTGCAAACTGAGCTCACATCCTGCCGAACCTGACTCCTGTGTGCAACTCTTCTACTTTCTGGAAGTGGGGTCTGAGTTCCGAGCCTTCTGGGAACTGGTATACGACATCATCAGAAGTATAGCATCCCTACCCACTTTACAGGAGTGTGATGCAGAGTAAATAAAATTTTTTATTTTTAGAGATAGAGTCTCACTCTGTTGCCCAGGCTAGAGTGCAATAGCATGATCATAGCTCACTGCAACCACAAACTTCTGGGCTCGAGTGACCCTCCCCTTTCAGCCTCCCAAGCGGCTGGGAGTACAGGTGCACACCACCACACTAGAGTAATTGTTTTTTAAGATGGGGTCTCACTATATTGCCCAGGTTGGTCTCAAGCTATCCTCCTGCTTCAGCCTCTCAAAGAGCTGAAATTACAGGTGTGAGCCACTGTGCCCAGCCTTAAATAAAATTAATGCACACAAAAGGCTGAGCATGGGCCTTGATACCAAAAAATGTTCAATGAACTGCTTTGTTACTGTGATTATTGAACAAGCTTTTAAACATTCACTGTTACACCACACCCAAACTCCACCTGCCCCACGGCCACAAATGCCAACAAAGCCAGAACAGCTAAGCCTAGAGAAGCGCCTGTCCCCACCTGTGACACCCCGTGTGGCCTCCCATCTCCTCCACCAGGACCCTGTGGTGCGGCATACAGAGTTGGAGTTGGGCAGCAAATTGATGCGGGAGGAGTGGGTGCTCGGGCCAGCTCTACCATGGAGCAGCGGTTCCGTCACAAGAATCTCAGGAGGCCAGCGGCGCATGTTTATGAGACGCCGCGAGCTGCCGAGAAGTACAACATAAGGACAAAGCTCCAGCCCTGCCTGGGTCTCCAATCACACTCCCACTGGGGAGCTGTGTGGATTTCCCTAGATCTTCTGCCCCCCTAAAAAGAAAACTCTGAGTCCCCTAATAGTTGCCTTAGCCAAAGCCTCCCTCCAAGCTGGCTGACTTAATGCTGAAAACCTTCACTTGGCTTCAGCAATGTTTGTTCTTCCAGAATAAGAATGGGAAGTTTGGATTTTATCTTTCCCCACAATCCTTAATCCTGATTAGCCACTCTTAAAACAACTGATATCAATACTGACATTCCAGTGAGAGTAAACAGCACAACCCAGGCCTTCAATGTCTGCCCTCTTTAAATGCCCCTAAAAAATAAATAAAAGAATACACCCTTAAGAGCTTTGACCTATGTTTTGGCTGTGTTAAAGGCAGACATTTCAAAAGTGGTCAAAATAGAGTTCTTTAGTAATTCTTCTAAACAAAGGGTGAGCCACTATAATCTGTAACTAGAGTAAAAACAACATATTCTTGACTTAAAGATAAACCGATTAGATGTACAACTTGGACACACTCCTCTCAAAGAAGGTTCCTTTGTAGGGAAATGGTTCAGGCAGTGGTATTTCAGCGTGAGACACAAAAATGTTTCAAAACCCCACATTTTAAATGTAGTGGTGGCAAGGCAGAGAAAAGCTTTCTAATAACTAAACGTTTGAAACCCAAAGGAAACCTGTTTCTTTAACAAGCAGTTCTTGTTTTTAAAGGATTTAATGAAACAAGTCAAAAGGAACGGTGTCTAGTTGACAGGGGAAAGAAGAAAACAAAGAAAATGGTTTCCCCCCTAAAGGTTGATTTCATTTTACATCTGTAAATAATTTCAATGTAAACTGTCCCAAGTTTTCCCTAGTAGAGAGAAAGAGATTTCATAAACTTCCTGGGTTCCTCTACTTTATTTTCTTATCAGATGCATTTCCAGGCAAAAACAATCAAAACCCTCCTGGAAAGGAGTTTGGATCCCGGAAACGCTCCAGCCTGACGACACTCACTTCCTAAGCGCAGCACACTCTAAAGAAGGCATCAAGGGGATGTTACCCCAGGAACCTCTGAACCAGACAACACTGGGGAGAGGCTTCAGAAGAGCTTAAGAGAAAATGAAGGCAAGTGTTACCCAAGTCATTTCAGGATCTGGCTGGCCGGTCCTCCCACTGGCCTGCCGGTCATGCTGTATCGTTTCCACTCTGTATTAGTCAGCCTGGGCTGACAATACCACAGACGGGACCTTAAACAATAGACTTTTTTTTTTTTTTTGAGACAAGGTCTTGCTCTGCCACCCAGGCTGAAGTGCAGTGCAGGCTCAGCCTCCTAGGCTCAAGCCATCCTCCCACTTCAGCCTCCCTTGTAGCTGGGACCACAAGTGTGAGCCACTATGCCCAGCTAATTTTTGTATTTTCTTGTAGAGATGGGGTTTCGCTATGTTGCCCAGGCTGGTCTCAAACTCCTGGACTCAAGCGATTCACCCGCCTTGGCCTCCCAAAGTGCTGGGATTACAGGCATGAGCCACTGCACCTGGCCCAACAATAGATTTGTATTTCTCACAGCTCTGGAGGCTGGAAGCTCAGCTCAAGGTACCAGCAGATCTGGTTCCTGGTGAGGCCTCTTCCTGGCTTGCAGGTGGCCCTGTTCTGCTGTGTGCTCACATGGTAGGGAAAAAAATCTCTCTTTCCATCTTCCTCCTCCTATAAGGACACCTGTCCTGTAGGACAGGTGGATCAGGGCGCCACCCTTTAGGACCTCCTCTAACCTTAATCACCTCCACAAAGGACCTGTCTCCAAATACAGTCACTCTGGGGTTTGGGACTTCAACGTAAGAAACTTGAGGGGGCACAATTCAGTCCACAACACACTCATACTTCCATGCGGCTGCTAGTCAGAGGGACAGAGACTTCCTGTGGGGCCTGTATGGGCTACAAGGCTCAGGAGGTGATGGCTTTCAACCTGCTTTTGAGGGCTGGCTGATGGAGAAGGCAGGTATGACTCAGAGCAATAACAGAAAAAACAAAAAAACAACTTCAACATGCTTTTTTTTTTTTAACTAATGGGGGGAAATAAGTAAATGAGGGCTTGACAGGAAGCCCTGTGGCCATTTGGGTAGGACAGTCTCTTCAATGTGCCAGACCAACCTGGGCTATACGAAATATGTGGCTTCATTGGGCCCTGGTGGTAAATGCCAGGAGCACCCCACGGGTATTCTAACAACCCCCGATCCTCCACCCCCACATTTCCATCTTCGCTCTGGGTGGGTGGCACAGCTCAAGGCTGAGAACCACTGAATTAGACACTCCCCTGAGGCTCCTTTTAGCTTCACAGTCGCATAGCTTCATAAAATTATATCTCCTGATCACGGGAACACAGCCTAAAATAGTACGCAATCTACAGTGTTAGACTGTCCTCAAGTGTCAGCCGTTGGCTCCAGATTCACAGCTAAAGATCTCAATGTTGGAATCGTCCAGGGCTCAGGCCTTGGGCCTCTTCTGTCTGCATCCATTCCCTTGGGCTTAACACCCAGCCTCACGGTTTTAAATACCATCCATACGCTGAACATTTCCAAATTTACATTCCCGCTAAGACCTTCCTCCTGAACACCAGACACATATCCCACCACCTACAAAACAGGTCCACCTACACTGAGCAGCATTAACATGTCCACATTTCCCTACACCTGCTCCACTCACAGCCTCCCTATATCTCAGCTGAGGAGACTGCAGGTCTTCCCTTGTGCCAGCCACAATCCTTGGCACCCTCTTCCAAGCCATACCCCCCTCCAGTCCATTAGCACATCCTGTTGGCCCCACCTTCAGAATATAGCCCACCAGACCACTTCTCACCACCACCAATGCTACTTTCCATTACCTTCTGCCTGGACAGTAAGAACAGCTTCCCAACGCAGAGAGAGAGAGAAAAAACAAACACTTACTACAAAAAAGAAACTTCAGAATTCCCATTGGTTTAATTTGCTTTTAAGTCTTGATAATTTATTTGAAATTTCCAAGCAAGAAGATTATTTTTTTAAATTGAGAAACCATGCAGAGATCACTGTTAGAGGTGAGGGATATCCCAATTACCCTGACTTGATCATTACACATTGTAGACAGGTATCAAAATCTCACATGTACCGCCAAGATAGATAACAACTATGATATATCAATTTAAAAATAAAAAGAAAAGAAATGGTGCTTTCAAAACTAGGATGGGGCTGAATGCCGTGGCTCACACTTACTATCTCAGCATTTTGGGAGGCCAAGGCGGGAGAATTGCTTGAGGCCAGGAGTTTGAGACCAGCCTGGGCAACACAGTAAGACCCCATCTCTACAAAAACTTAGCCTAGCGTCATGATGCGCACCCACGGTCCCAGCTACTCAGGAGGCTGGGGCAGGAGAATCACTTGAGCCCAAGAGGGAAAGGCTACAGTGAGCCAAAATTGTACCACTGCAGCCTGGGTGACAGAGTGAGACCTTGCAGAAAGAAAAGAAAAAAAAAATAAGATGGGCTATCATCTTTCTAATATCTAAGAGGACCTAATATATCTTATACATAGTATTTAGTATTTCACTCACAGCTGGCTTTTGTGTGCTTCCTGATTCCATGTAAATATTTCTTCTTGGTACAATATATACATCTAGAAAGGTAAATAAAGCATAGCCCAGAGTTTTTTGTTTGTCTGTTTGTTTGGGAGGCTCTGAAGCCTTATTCCTTGTATCTATCCTTCAGGGTAATAAGGGGTGGATTATAATCGCAGTTTTCCAGTCCTGGGAGAACACAAACACAATGAGGTTATTTGTGTGTGGCCCATCTTGAGTTCACAGGACCTTTATACTTAAATATCCCCCTTTCCTTCTCCTGTATTCTTTTATGATTCTTCATATCTTGCATGATTTATTGGGCACTCAATATATGCCAGGCACTCTGCTAAACAATTCACTCACTCAGCAAATACTTATTGAATTTACTGAGTGCCCGGAGGTGTCTGAATAACAACCCTGGATACAATAACTCACTATTCGGAAGAAAAAAATAAGTAAAATACACAGTGTGTGGGTGGTGAGAGGAACTGTGGAGAAAAATCAAGCAGGAAAGGGGGACGGGAAGTTTTGGAGTGGGGGTCAGGGGGTTGAACTCCTAGGGAAGATGGTCAAGGGATACCTCACTGAGGTGGCTCAGGGGAGGGGCAACCAGCCCATGTAAACATGTTGCTTAATCTTCATAGGTTACAGATGGAGTAATGTTCTATCATCTTATAGATGATAAAGGTCACAGAATTAAGAACTGGAGGGTCTGAGATTTTCAACCCAGGTCTGTAGGACTCCAAACACCTCATTCTTAATTACCCTCCACCTGTACTGCTTTCAGATTTATCAAAACTAAAGACTGAATTCTACTGTGCAAGAATTTCTATTGATCAACACGAAGGTAGATACTGCAGAGACAAAAAACATTTTATACAGAAAGGTCAAATTCTGAAATAGCTCCCCATTAGATATATTGGGAGAGAAATTCAAAGAGGTAACCCAATCTTCTTAACCTGACATTCAACAAGAATGGTAATTCTAGAGCTTACACTTTGAGACATTAAATCGGCTCAGCTCTAGGCATCCAATTGACTATGGATAGACTTTAATTTAGCCCAAATCCAACAAATGTGGAAGGCATCCCAGCTGCCCCTTTAACACATGCAAATGAACATGACACACTGGCTGGAACTAAAATTAAACCCACCTAAAATGCATCCCACACTGTGGGATGAATATTCAAACATCTGTTTGGACAAACTCATATTTCAAAAACTTTGAAAAAAAATATACGTACATATAGTTTTGGGGACTTTGTAGGGACTTGCAAGGGAGGCAGATGAGAAAGCCAGCCCACATGCTGATGAGCCATGAGAAAGAACACCATTCTTCTCTCAGCTCACAGGGTAAGTTAAGTATGTAAAGATAAAATCTTGTGGGAAAACTAGCTCTTAACCCACATGGTGAAAAGAAATTCAGACCATCTCATGGAGATGTCATGCCAAGCAGTCGACTGAAGTCATCAGGGAAGATTTCTGCACTAGATTCTGCTAGACTTTATTCCCCTGAGTTTAGGCCAAGCCCTTCTTAAAAGCTACACGGACGCTTTCTGGTCTTCAGTCAGTAGCTCTTAATCACTGGGCAAGTTATCAACATTCCGGGCACCTCCGTTTCCTCTCTGTGTATGAAGATAAGCTTCAAGCCTATCTTAAAGGGTTGTGTGGATTACGTGGGTGGGGGCCGGAGAAGCACCTGGCATGGGCTGCTTGGCCTGGTTAGCCTGGGGATGGGCTGGTGGTGGGGAAGTACACACCTGGGACCCTCTGGAAAAAGTGAAGGACCCTGTCCCCAGAAACGCACCTACATATACACTTGCGATCTTGCACACAGCTTCGGCCTCAACACTTTCACAACATCCCAAAGCCCATGCATGGCTCCCTGGAGGTCCTTGGACCCCAGGTTGTCACCCCTTATTTTAGATACAGTACTAAACAGTTAGTCAAGCTGACTTTAACCAGGACAGCATAAGGACTGAGTAGAGCTGGCTTTAGAAAAGAAATTAATGGATGACAGGAAACATTAATCAAAGACAATCTTTTGGAGTGGAGTTAGGAAAATGATGAGATTCTTACTATTATATAAGATATGTATGTTTACATATACTCATATGTATCAGATATTAACACACAAACACACACACACACTTTTCCATGGCCCTAAAAAAACTGTAAAGCTACATATTTCTTAAATATGAGCTGGAATAGGTGAACAGAGCTGACTAGAACCCAAAGAAAGCTGTTAAGAAAGGAAGCTCCTGGCAGTTAACTGGCACCTACACTGTCCATAAAGTCCTTGAGAGTAAGAGAGAAAAATCTTCTTTCACTGTATGCAGTGTGTGTGAATGTAGTTTCACTGGCCATTTGTCTCTCTCCAGCTCTCCCTCCCCCATCAATCCCTGAAACTCCAGCCCGTGAAATTAGACACTTGCTGGCTCTCTGGGAGCCCCATGCTTTCCTGGCAGGGCTTCTGCACTTCCTTCTTCCTGGGTGTCCCCACCCAATTCACCGCTCTTGGGACCTGTCCTGACCCTCCCACCCTCCTGAGTGCCTCAAAAGTATTCATGCAAAGTAGACTGCCCAACCCATGGAGCTACACGACCTCACTTCCTGGTGCACCTGCCACCCCTAGCAGCTGGAATGGGACCAGATTTTTCTGGGTGAAATGCTAGGATCCGAGCACAGAGTCTGACATATGGTAGATGTGTAATCTATATTCCATTCACTGATGAATGAATGACTCTAACTTAGCAGGAAGATATACCAAGCACCCAGGAAAACAGCTGCCTTCAAAATGCAGCTCCTTATTTTTTAATAATCTGAAACAAGACTAATTCACTGAGAATTCCAATGTGAAAGACCTCCCAATCAAGGTTCTTATCAGCAAACTTACAGGTATGGGATAACAATGAGGGTTATGCATATCACTTTCCTGATAAGTGGTGACAAATACTCTTTTTAAAATGCCTACCAACCTCCTGAGCTGAGCTTCATAGACCCCAAAGTACCCTCCACTCTCAAGATCTTTGAAGAATAAAAAGGGGTGGGCAAGGTGGAGCATGCCTGTAATCCCAGCACTTTGGGAGGCCGAGGCGGGCGGATCACTTGAGGTCTGGAGTTTGAGACCAGCCTGGCCAACATGGTGAAATCCCATCTCTACTAAAAATACAAAAATTAGTCAGGTGTGGTGGCAGGCAGCTGTAATTCCAGATACTCGGGAGGCTGAGCCACAAATTGCTTGAACCTGGGAAGTAGAGGAGTAGAGGTTGCAGTGAGCCAAGATCACATCACTATATTCCAGCCTAGGCAACAGAGCAAGACTCAGTCTCCAAAAAAAAAAAGAAAAAGAAAAAGAAAAAGAAGGAGGTCAGGAGAGCAGTGGTTCATGTTTGTGATTCCAGCACTTTGGGAGGCTAAGGCGGGAGGATCACTTAAGGCCAGGAGTTCAAAACCAGCCTGAGCAAATGGAGAGACTTCACCTCTACCAAAAAATAAAAATAAAAAATTTTAAATAAATATTATCTGGATGTAGTGGTGAATGCCTGTAGTCCTAGCTACTCAGGAGGCTGAGATGGGAGGATTGCTTGAGCCCAAGAGTTTGAGGTTACAGTGAGCTATGATCGCACCACTGCATTCCAACCTGGGTGATAGAGGGAGACCCTATCTCTAAAAATAGAAAGAAAGATGTGGACAAGAGCCCTTCCTTTAGTACAGGGTGTGGAGATGTGGCACCTGTCCCTCCTGTGTTTCTGCTCAATTTAACATCTATTGTGCTGGGTAGTTCATTTCTCCTTTCTAATCTTTAGAACATTTCCAATATAAGCTGTCACAATAAGCAGGAATTTAGATTTTCTTCCTCCAAGGTTGGGAACAATGACAAATTTTGCATTTTTGTGAATGGATCATAAAAATAACAAGTGATCACTAAATATAAAGCCAGTCACACAACTCTCTTTCTGACTTCCACGCTCTGGCCAGAAACCCACAGCCTCTGCACACTGCCACAGGGCACCTAAAGACTAGAGCTGAATCTAGAACCATCCTTCCACTGCCTATGGATGAAGTTCCATTGCCATATACCTCAGGATTTTTCCTAGTTTTACAACACACATTCAATTTCCCAGAGTAATGGAGAAGTTCTAGTGTCACAGGTGAAAGCGACGTACTGGTTTGTGTGAAAGCAAATGAAGCTGCAGCAGGTGCTTAGTGGGGTACTTACTGGTCATGCCGGGTGTCAGGGATGGCTCTGTCCATTCGAAGCTTATCACTCTCCACCTGGTTGAACTTGTTGCGGGCGTAAGGGTCCTGCCCGGAGCGGACCATCGTCCCTCCAACATAAGCTTCCTGGTTAAAGTCTGGCCACCGTACTTTCCCTAAAAAGAGCAGAGCAGAGGGTAGGGATGAGGGAAAATGTGACCAAGTGCTCATCACAGAGACTGCAGTAAGTGTTAACTCCAGAAATCACATCCATGGCTTCTTTATATAGTGGCCATTTTAAACAACAAACTAGCTGAAAACAGCACAAGCAAGCATCATCCTGTCTACAACCCAGAGAATAGGAAACTGCAGGTTTGCCATTTACAGCATGAAAGTTAAAGGCCTGGTGTACAGGCATCTGTCCAGTGAACAAAGTAAGATCAAAGTACCTGTAACTGTGGCATCATTCATGTTTTCTATAAAAGGAGATGTTCTCAGCTTGTCCCACCTTTCCAGGGATTATAATGTTGACATTATCTCAGGTAGGGTGAAGAAGATCATGTATAAACTGCACATAAGGTATTCCATCATGTAACATCAGGTAACACAAAAATAAATGTTTATACAAAAAATAACCCCTAAAGAACAGGATATCAAAATACCCTTTGGTGAGACCTTGTCAAGGGGTCCTTTTTGCAGCTGTTAGTATGCCTGACCCCACGGGGAGAAAGTGAAGGATGTGGCTCTCAGAGGTGTCCTCATATGCACAGCAGGGGCCTGGCCATTCCTAACACACACATCATACCTGTTCTCTTCCTGGAAGAAAGGAAGCCAAGGCAGCCTGCCTGTCCCCTGGCATTGGCCTGAACCCTAGAATGCCAGGCACAAGGTTCTCCAAGAACACACCACTGCACTGAGGAGCTCTACCCTAGGGCAGAGGCAGTGTTGGCGACCAAGGAGCATTGAGAGGAGAGCACTGCTAGGCGAGTGAAGTCAGGATGAGCCCAGGTGTAATAAAGGCAGAGCCAGAGAAATGCACAAAGGCAGGATGCTCAAACAGCAGAAGACAGGTGGAAGGAGAGGCAGACTTGAAGCAAGGAGAACATTTATGATTCTGTGTCAACCTGGGTTTCAATCAAGCACCATTCGCCATTTGCCACCTATATGATCTCGGATACGCTATTCATTGTTTGAAATTAAGTTTCCTACAAAATAAGTAAATAGAATAACAAAAGGTTCTTCACGAGGACTTAATGGCCTACAATGTTCCACTTCATAGATATGACAAACTAAAAAATAATAATAAACACCACCAACAACCCTGCTCACATGAAACTCATACAATTTCCAGTGGTTGGAACTGCCATGAAGAAACATAAGGCTGTTATGGGGGCAGGGAGTACAGGGTTCCTGTTCTTTATGGGGTGGTCTGGTAAGGCCTAGCAAGATGATTTTGAGCAGATAACTGAACAAAGGCAGGGTGTGGGCATGCAACTCTCCGGGAGAATAGGGCACCGCAGTGCAAAGGT
Source organism: Homo sapiens (assembly GCF_000001405.40). NCBI lineage: Eukaryota > Metazoa > Chordata > Mammalia > Primates > Hominidae > Homo > Homo sapiens. The sequence continues at coordinate 230,201,783 of NC_000001.11, read as the reverse complement.
CCTAGTGTCGACATGAGCATGCCCATTCAGGAACCAGCCAGGAGGCCAGTGTGACTAAGGAGCAAGCAAGAGCCTGGCCGTCAGAGCCAAGGTTGGAGAGGGGAAGGCAGGGCTGCCGGCAGCTACACGAAACAGGGCAGCAAGGGGGAGACAGCTCTTTTGCAGCGTGTCAACCCTTGGGTCGTGCAGTTGACCTTGAAAACACGGTATGATAATAGCATGTGTACCTCCATATCTACTTTCCCAACAGAAATCCCTCATTACACAATTGAAGGGCCATTGTGTTCCTTTCTCTATTTCAGAGATGAGGAAACTGAGAATCAGTTACATGTAATTTGTTCAAGACAGAAGAGTAAATTTTCTATCTAAAAGCTCATCTGCTTCTTGTTGCAATGGTCCTGCGAGGTCAGAACCCCCATCTCATCACAGCTGGTTGCCGTGGAAATGATGCTTGGGGGGTGTCACAGAAGTCTGGCCTCTCAAATCGAAAATCAGTTCCAAAACCCACGAGCCTGGCTACAGCGATGATACCACGGCCCCAATAAACAGCTGCCTGTGGGAGCCGGCCAAGGTGTCAGCATCTTCTTATGCCGCAAATAAAATGTTTCCAAAACATGTTACTGGAAACATGTTTTCCGTGCAAAGACCATCCTAAAAATACTTACTGATCCTCCACTCTCTCCTCATCTTCCTGCCTTCACCCTCATATATTTTCAAGGATGAGAAGAAAAATAACACCTACCTGCGCTCAAGAGCGAGCAGCTTCTACTCCTCACCAGTGAGTTTATCCTTTCACGGACTAATACAAAAGAGGCTTTGAAGCTTTTGTTAAAATCTAAACCAGCAGCACCTACGGCAGAATTCCAATGAGCTGGTTCTAACAAACGTATTTAATGTCCTGAATACCCTGCACCACGGAACTTTGAACTATGGAATAAAGAACCATGACGGAGTCCCATGCGCAGCCAGAGAAGAGACCACCACCCGAGAGAGGTTTCATCCTACCATGTAACTCTGCTTACAGCCTACTTGCTTCTCACCGGCGTGCTGGGGACAGCAAAGTCTGAGGACTCTGGTTGGTGTGGGCCTGTGTGCAAGGAGAGCAGTGGCCATGGGATAAGGCCTCTGCACAGCTCTAGAAGCTTCAATCCCATTTCCACCCATACATCTCTTTGTGCTCTCACACCCCCACAGCCCTTCTGGAATAAGACCATCACAGCACAGGGTTTGCAAGATGTCTAATGCCAGTCATTCACAGGGCAGCTCAGACCCTGGCCTGCGGTGCATACTAGGTGACTCCACATGAGGTGTCATGCTAGATCCTGCAGGGAGAATAAGCACACACAGGCCCGTGACCCATGCTGTGGACTTCATGTTCTAGGAGGTAGAGGGAGACAGACAAGAATCAAATGACTGTACTAGGCCGGGCGCACTGGCTCACGCCTGTAATCCCAGCACTTTGGGGAGGCCGAGGCAGGTGGATCACGAGGCCAGGCGTTCGAGACCAGCCTGGCCAACATGGTGAAACCCCATCTCTACTAAAAATACAAAAAATTAGCCAGACGTGGTGGCAGGCGCCTGTAATCCCAGCTACTCAGGAGGCTGAGGCAGGAGAATCGTTTGAACCTGGGAGGCGGAGGTTGCAGTGAGCCGAGATTGCACCACTGCACTCCAGCCTGGGCAACAGTGCAAGACTCCATCTCAAAAAAAAAAAAAAAAAAGAAAAAAAAGAATTAAATGACCATACTAATAAATGTATCAATAAAAACTGAGCTAAGTGCTCTGAGGGTGAAGAATGAAGCATCTAATGGAGCAATCTTATCTAGACTGGGAAACCAGGGGCGGCTTCCCTGCAGAAAGAATATCTGAACTGAGATTTGAATCATGAGTAAAAATGAACTTGGAGAAGCCCTTGAAACTTCACAAAAATATCATCTTTCTTCAGCACCCAAAGACTACATGAGCCTACTGAGCGGTACCCTGCCCTGCCGCCTCCTTTGACACAGGAGCGTCTTCAACAGGACCCTGGTGTGGGCCCTGCCTTGTCTTGTGGCAATCTCCCTGAGACACACAGCTGTTTTACTAGAGACAGACTATCAACAGTATTTCTTTCATAAAAGCTTAGCAGTACTGGAATACTACAGGGGCTTTCAAGTTTGCTTGACAATGACACACTTTTAACACTGTGACCCAGGTGTCACAATGCAAACATACACACCCAACTGATACAAAAGTCTCACAATACCAAACTTACCCTCACTATATGCGAGGAACAGATCTATTCTATTTTTGTTTTAGGTATCTCTCGAAACTGGCTTCACCACCTAATGATGGGTCACAACCCATAATTTGGAAAACGCTAAGCTAAAGAACCATTACTAAAATTGGTTATTTCTGTACTATATAGAATTGCTAGGTTTGAAGCTACCCCCAGAGGCAAAGGCAGGAAAATCCATGGAGAACAAGGTTTGCAGAGGGCACACGCGTCCCAGCCCAACCCCACGCAAACAGGGACATGGCGAGAGGTACACAGAGTAGGGTATGAGTCAGAGGTTAGAGAGAAACAGCCACAAAACAACCAACAAAACGTCTGAATATATTGCCTTCCTAAAAATATGACATGTCATCCATACATCATCTTGTGCTTTTATCATCTTTTTAAAAATCTTTAAAAATAGTTCTGGAAATTAAACAGCTTTAGAAAATAAAAATATATGAGAATCTCGGGAAAGTGGACTTGGCTAAGCAGAAGCAGCTGACGGAAAATACTTCAAAGATATAACATTTTACATGAGGAGGCAGAAACTAGCTTCATCACCAAAGATGACAGGAAAATAAAACATACATTTAAATAACATGAGAAAGGTATTTAAATAACATGAGAAAAGAAAGAGAGCATTATCCTAAAAAGGGCTGCGAAAAGTTTGCTTATTAAATAAGGTTATGAAAATATTTTTGAGGAAATTTCTTTCCAGAAGATAGACTTCTCTTAGATGTGGTCTTTGAAACCAAAGAAGGAATTGTTTGACCTTACCAGCCTTGAAACCCCTGATTCAGTAAAAATGAGAAGCTTACAGCTGATTATTCCGCAGACAGAACAAGTCACCTGTCTGCGACCCCATGCCGACCTACCTGGGCTGGAATGAGGTCTGCGCTAGTCCCAGTCAAACCCTCAGGTGGTCCCACAGACTGCCCTGCTCCACACATGCATGGCCATGTCCTCTGAGAAGCACTGGGCCCACAAGGGTCTCACTCTCCTGGGCTGCTGTCCTGCCCCTGCCACTCCTCGTACGCTCCTGGGCTGCTGTCCTGCCCCTGCCACTCCTCGTACGCTCCTGGGCTGCTGTCCTGCCCCTGCCACTCCTCGTACTCTCCTGGGCTGCTGTCCTGCCCCTGCCACTCCTCGTACGCTCCTGGGCTGCTGGTCCTGCCCCTGCCACTCCTCGTACTCTCCTGGGCTGCTGTCCTGCCCGCGCCACTCCTCGTATTGCTCCAGGCTCCCTTTCCTACCCAGGTGAAGATGGAGCTCCTCACCTCACAGACTCAGCCTCGCCCGCAGCACCTCAGCATCCCACATGCGCAGTCCACAAGCACCTGTTAAGGGCTTTACTACTGAGGGTCTCGTCCTGGGTCGAAGGTACCGGAGGCTGACCGTGAAAAGGAATCCAATCCTGCGCGTGACTGGGAGGAACGCAGCTTCGTGTTAGTTCTTACACATCTCATCGCTGCGTGCCGATACAGCCGCATATGAGACGTGCTGTGGTCTTGCGCCGGACGCTTACTCCTACGCCTCTTTCGCTCGTTTGCAGGCATTTTTTAAATGTGTTCCACCGCAAAGCCTGTCAGCCCTCCCGAGCCTGCCTGCCCCATCAGTCAGATCGCTGGCTGGAGCACGGGGGAACAGAGGGTGCAGAGCTGGCCAACAGGGGTCCAGGCCAATGCTGTGTCACTGATAAGGATTCAAGGACTTGAGCAGAGGAGCAGCAGAACACACACACGCACGCATGTACGCACGCATGCACACACACACACAGAGCACAAAATCCAAGCATGAGGGTGAGCCTGGCTCACTGACTCCCTCTGACACTCTGGTTTGTATAAAATGGAAATAATATTCCACTTCTGGGGTTGTTATAACAACTAAATGAGATGATCACAGCAAAAGTCCTACACTACTAACTATAAAATTAACTGATATTTACAGGCAGAAATGACCGAACACAAACAGAATGTCCCTGCCTCTCTGATGTAACCCCCTATGCCCTCACCCAGAAAGGGCTGCTGGGAACCACCCAGCCACCAGGCCCTCTGTGACACCCATGAGGGGTGTCCCACTCTGCAACTGACCCCGGGGGGGCGAGCAGGAAGCATAGAGGGAATCCCTGCTTTCTTTATGGGGGTCCTGTGGGCACTGCCCAGGCGAGCAGGGGTACAGACCTGCGGATGCACTGAATTCATGCCCTGCTGTTACCCACGAGTACCTCCCGCCCTCCCCATAGCGCTGTGAGAAGTGAGAAGGCGGGGCCAGTGGATGATTTCACCTACGTCTACACTTGTATCCTTTCATTTCCATCTGCTGCTCCCAAGAAACACCTGGAAATAACAACTCAATGTCATTCTCTGCTTGTTTCAGGCAGGGGGAGATGCGAGACAGGTCCCATGTCAGGTGGAGTGTGGAGGAAGAGAGGCTTGCTCTGAAGCCAGGGGTGTTAGTGCTTGAAAGAGGAATAGTCCAGACACAGCCCACTACAAAATGGAAGTGCCAGGGGCCTACTCTAAGAGAAAATTAGTTTTACTATCAGCCATATCATGATCAGTTAGGTCCCTAGGTTTTCCACTTAAGCTGTTTTTCACATTCCTTGGCGGTACTGGGTCTGAGAAACCCAGTTCTCAGGACTGTGCAGAGACGGGAAGCACCAGCCCTCTGCCCCTCACCTGTGCATGCCATGGGCACCTTCCTTTACCATTTTCTCCTGCTCTCTGCATCACCCAGAGGGCTATTGAGGGCCACAAAGCCTCTGGGGGCTCCCACTCAGATGCGGAACTTCTCCTGCTCAGTGGGGATGGGATGAGGAGAAGCGGGGCCTGCCTGCTGACAGCAGCTTGTGTGCTGGACGGGGCAAGAATGCAGAAGCCTGTGTCCCCAGGTGGAGCTGTACCTTCCCATCTCCTGTCAAGACCCACACCCACCCTCTCTCAATCCTAGGGTTGGAAGAATACTAAAGGGACGTCTCGCACTTGCCGTCCTGAGGAATGTATGGGTGACCTCATAAGACAGACATTTTATTTTGGGTCTTAATTTTGGAGAAAAACAGTCCACCACCCTCTATTTTCCCCAAGTTGATCAGAACAGCCCAGTACAGTGAAAATGCCAAGCCCAAGCAAATGTACGGAAATTAACAAACACCTCACTGGAAAGACCCGCCATCCAAAAGTGAGGAGGAGATGGGATAGCTCCATAACCAAGCCAAGGTTCCAAGAAAGCCCCGGAGAAAGGGCACTTGGGCTGGGTCTTGAAGCGTGAGCAGGAGCCTGCCAGATGCAGGAGGCATGTAACAGAAGACACCCAGAGACAGAAGAGACCCAGTAGGGAGGGACGGCAGGCAGGAGGTGAGGGGGCCCTGTGCCCAGTGGCTGCAAATCCTCTAGCCTGGGCTGAAGTACTTGAACCTTACTCCCCACATTCTAGAGTGCACAGGATATTTGGAGTAAATGAGTGCTGATCCACTTTGCACTCCAGGAATGTGCCTCTGGCTGTGGAACGAAGGATGCTCAGACAGGAGACGAAAGTGAGGAGGCTGACGACCCTGGTGCAAGTGTGTACAGCCTAGTGCACATCTGCCCCCTGCTCAGGAAGGCCCTGCCCCTATCTGAGGATTGTCCCCAGCCAAATGCCATGTCACCTCCAAGCCAGCCCAGCCCCTGCAAGCCCCAAACTCACGTCCAGGTCTCTGCTCACCTCCGGCTTGTGTGGCCAGTGGTGCCTCCCCAGCGCTCCCTCCTCCTCCAGGAGGAGCCACGGTGGAATCTGTGGCGGTGCGGGCACAGCACCTCTCAGGAAGGCTGCCATGCTTCCACTAACCTGGCTAATACTTCATTACTGTTTTGTCAGTCCCATCGGCAACCCCAGAAGGTGTACCTGGGAACTCTTACTAAAGCTGGTCTTCCTAGCCATGCCCGCACCGCTGATGCTGTGCATACTTACAGATAAGGCAGGGCCACTGCGATGTATGTGTCTACCCCTCCTGCCAGCTGAGCTGCCTCTCAATGTGGCTACCTCCTCCAGGAGCCCTCCCTGGGGTCCCTAGCTGCTGCCTCTCTGCACCCTCTCTCTTTTCTTTCTCCTCTCTCTGCAAGCCTCTTCCTGCCCCCTCACGCAGAGCTCTATCCCAACCACAGCTTTTCTAAAACCCTCTTGCCAGGGGGCCTTATAAGTGCTTCCACTCTTCTGTCTAATAACTTGAAATTCCACCAAGGCTAGAGCTCAAGTTTAACCACATCTAACTGCCACTGAACACAGCAACAAACACAGAGACAATGGTGTTTGTTCCTGCTCTGCCGGCACCTCAGTGACTCCCAAGTCACTCCCCAGAAATTATAGCCACCTCTCGGGTTCTGGCTGTGCCCTCCCTGTCTTGACCTTGGTCCGGACTTGGAGACACATTCACTGAAAGCCGTTTAAAATGAGTCCTGTCTCTCTCCACCTGACTCAGACTTCAATACCCTTCTAACCTTGTTTGCTGTACCCTTTTCAGTTTGGAGATCAAGTCTGGACAGAGAAGATGGAGGCCCAATGGGAACGGGCAGGCTCCACTTCTTCTCCCCGCAGAGCTGGGATGCTCTTCTTGCTCTCTCTCCTCCCCTCGTGTCCACAGACCTATGCTTGTCATCTTCAGCACTGACCCCTCCGCACGCACTGGAATAGGCTGCCACAGCTCTCTCTGCTCCCCTCTATGGTGGATGGGGGCCCAGCCCGGAAGCTGCTAAGCAGTGCACTTCAGTAATGAAAATGAACATCCTGCTAAGCCCTACAGGCGTTCCTGCAACTTGTTCTGACACTGTTCCCAGAGGCCTGTGGCACTGTGGGGAGAGTGTCCCTCCCCTCCTGGCCACCTCGCAGCTGCATCTGATGTCTGATGGCAAATGGAGGCCAGTCCATTTGAAGGGCTGGGCTAACCGCAAGAGGAAGGGAGATTCCTTGTCCATTACCTTTGGACTGATGGCCCTAAGGCCTTCCCTTCTTATCCCTGTAGCCATGAAAAACAATGTGTACAGTCAGAGAGGGGATGGGCCCAGGTTAATTCTTCTGCCTCTGGGAGAGAAGGGCCAGGACCTGGAGAGACAGAGCAGACCTACGGTGGCCTGACAAGTCCTGGCTCTGGACCCCTGCAGGAGAAGGGGGCCCTAAGGCTGGTGTGGGAGGTGAACTTCCCACCACTTCTGTCTGCCGGTCCATTCTGCAGGACGCATCCCTGCCCACTGTCCTGACTAGCCACTACCCGGCCACTGCTCCCTGGGTTACACAGACTTCAGGCCCAGCAACTTTTTCTTTTTTCTCTTCCCCATCTTTGACTTAGTCGGCATGCCTCCCCACTGATACTCTTCATCACACCCGCTATCATTCAGGGCACAAGGTTTTGTGCTTTGCTACTTCCTTGGGTACAGAATTTCTTCTCCCTCCCGTAACCCATCCACCAGGCTCTGAGTTATAGCTACCTTTTCAGAATCTGTTTTTTCCTGGTTTAGTTTTGGGAACTTTTCTCCCCATCTTATCGAGGCTGGAGAGCAGGACAGTGTCCCTTGAGCAGAGAGTGGCTGGCGACTGTAACGGTCCATGGTGCCTGGGAGTGGAGGCTGAGCATAGGCACTGAGGCCCCGGGAAGGCTGCTCGGGGCCCCGCCAGCATCAGCTCTGTGGCTGACACTCTAGGACCTGGCTGCAGCCAGAGACACAGCCAGACAGCGCTCCTAAGTGCCACTCAGGACACCATTTCCATGGGACAGTTCATTCTGGGATCCTAATAACCAATCTTCAAGTGAACTTTTTGAAAAAGACGCTTTTGTCATCAGGGGACTACTTGCATTTGGATGACTTGTTCAAATAAATGTTGGTTTAAAATAATGCTACCTTTCCAAACAATGCCACTTCTTTCTTAAAATTTTTGTTTTTACTAAACCTTATATTTGAAAAAAAAAAGATGACAGAAACCTATAAAACTGACCCTTCAAAGAATTAACATCACAAAGCACATGAAGACCCCAGCACACAGAGGCGCACGCACACCCCAGCACAGAGAGGCGCATGCAAACCCCAGCACACAGAGGCTCACGCACAGGCACATGCACAAATGCGGTCTTTAGAGGACTCTCAGTTGCGACTGTCCTTCAGCAGCAGATCAGGACATATGCTCTTGGGCAAAGAGCTGTCATCTACCACCCGCAGGTGTACAAGGGGAGGGGAGGTATCTTCCTGGATGCAGGTCCCGTTGTGCAGGAAACTGAGAGTCTCAGTGGATTCAGGCTGCAGGAGGCTTCAGGATTCTATACAGGTATTCACTGCTGTACTGCAACTCTTCATTCAAATCCTCCCCAGGAAAGACAGCTTAAACAAATCTAAAGCTACCCCACGTAAAACAGAGCAACCGCTGGGAAAGCAGCCAAGGAAGGGAAACAGAATGTATTTAATATCAAAGGACAAGGCTCTCAGATTTATTTGGTTGATCTCAAATTGAATGTAATTTTACTGTGCTTAAAAGAAAAAAAATCCTAATATTCTTCCTCTAGAAGGTCATAATGCTACACCATGAAAGAAAAGACGAGGACAAGGCCAGGATTACAAACAAATAGATCCATTTCAATTACAAAGGCCCATAAATTATGTTTTATTATTTGTCACTGGATATGTGGTATCACAGGAAATTTTCTTCACCTGTGAGAAACCGTCTCTTGAAATAGGGAATCCCACACATCCATGATTAAGGACAAAAAAACCAGGAAATCCAAAGAAGTGATAAAAAGCTATTTAAAAGAAAACCTAAGAAAATATCAGATGTTATAGAGGAAATAGTTTTCATTTGTTTAAAATTATCTGTGCTATCAAAACAACTAAAAATATACCACAAAACAGTATCAAATTGATAAAGTGCAATAAATCTTCATGTATGAATCATCCTATATCTCTTCTTCAAATTTGAAATGAAAATTCTTCATTTTTCGTTATATGTTGTACTACCTAACCATAATAAATTTAGCCTATTGTACATGGTCTTGACCAATCTTCTTTTTCATCCTAAATATCAGTAATAATATCAAAGTGAATCTACTGCCCAGAATCCCAGCCAACAGATGAAAAAGACAGAAGGAGAGAAAGACAGCATCTGTTAACCAGTGACTACTTGGTCTGCTACTTCATACAAGACCTTGTCCACACCATACCATAACCATGTCAAATATGAGGGTTTCTGCTTTACAAGTTAGGAAACTAAGGCACAGAAGTTAAACTTATCCAACATATCACAGCTGTAAGACGATGGAACCACAACTCAAACCCAGGTCCTAATTATGCCCAGTCTGTGTTCCCTCCACTGCACCCGACAACTCACTTTTAAGTGGGGAAAATTGAAGCGAAACACCAAAAAGCAACCCTGCATGCCTGTGCAGTTCTCAGCTGCCCAGCCCCCTTTCAGGTGGCAGTGCCAGTCCTGTCTCCACCCTGGAGTGACTGAGTCTCTGACTTTGAGAGCAGGTGTTCCTGTCTCTGAAACACTGGCATCACCTGTTGTTGGACTCAGAAGGAACTGTGGACATCATCTCTCCAGGTGTGAAAATCTTTCCATTACAGTCCCTAATGTCCAGCCACAGCTGAAGAGGTGCTGAGCATGGGGAGCCCCCCGTTTCAAAAGGCAGCTGTTTCACTGGACAGCGAGAACTGTTGGTGGGGGCTTCCTCAGATAAAAACAAACGCTGCTTCCTGAATGGGCACGGTGGCTCACGCCTATGATCCCAGCACTTTGGGAGGCCAAGGAATAGGGATCACTTGGGCTCAGGAGTTTGAGATCAGCCTGGGGAACATAGCGAGATGCTGTCTCTGCAAAAAATTTTAAAAATGTGTCTGGCATAGTGGCACATACCCGTAGTCCTAGCTGTGTGGGAGGCTGAAGCAGGAGGACTGCTTAAGCCCAGGACTTTGAGGCTGCAGTGAGCTATGATTGCACTACTGCACTCCAACCTGGGTTGGTGAGACCCTGTCTCAAAACAACAACAGAAACAAAAAAATGCTTCCCTCTAATTTCTGCTCAAATAAAAGAAACAGAAGTCTCAAATAAAAAGAGAAAAAAAGTCTTCAGCCTCTTTTATATGGTAGCCTTTCAAATATTCAGACATCATGATCCCACTTCCCCTTGGAAGCCCTTCTGTAAAAACATCCACAGTTACTGCACATGTTCCTCATCGGACACTGCTTCCGCTTCCTCAAAATCTGAGTCACTGTCAGCCGGACTAACTCTAGTTTATCAGCATCCCTGAACACTCTGTGCTCTGAAGAGAACTAAACACTTCAGCTATGGGGTGGGAGCCCAGAGAACACTGGATGTCACGTGACTGCTTCTAGACACTGTATTTCGACTAATAAAGCTTAAGATAACTATTTTTAAACAGCTCCATTACATTTCTGGCTACTGATCTCAGCCCTTGGTCTCCACTTTCTTGCTTGTTGGAACAGGAGAAGGACAATGAAGATTTTTTAATGTTGGCTAGAGTAAGAAAATAGGCCCCCTGTGGAAGATAAAATGGCAACTAATATTAAAAAATGCATGCATTGCCATTGACCCTGCAATTTCACTTTTAGGAATTCATTTCAAGAAAATAATCATGGACTTAAACAAAGATTTACCTCTCAGGATACTGGCTGGAACCCCTCTTTATGTCCCACAACAAAAAATAAGTTCAATGAGCCGATGGCGGTCGAGATGTTGCTGCCATTAAAATGCTATAGGAGATGTTTATGGATGTGAAAAGGAGTTCCCGATATATCGCCCAAGCAGAGATGGTACACCACAGTGCTGTATTTGTAAAAATCTAGCTGTAAGCAGATGGTAGGGAACTGCCCATAGAAAAAGGCCCCGTTTCAGGAGAGAAGAGAGAGGAGGGTGGCCCCCGATCAGGGAGTCAGAGCCCAGAGGGGGCTCTGAAAGAGAGATGGGCGTGTGTGGAGAGACGTCTCAGCAAATCCCCCAAATCTACTGAAATGCTAGTCACCTTGTGGATGACCTGAATTTTCATAGAAATTCACGAAAAGATTGAACTTTGAATGTGGGATAAAACTCAGGACCTGTTGTCAGAGAGGCCAGATGCTTCAGGAGCATTTGGTCCCAGGAGCCAACTCTAAGAAACTGTGCAAGGCCTGAGGCTTCAAGTGCGTGGGTCTTGGCGCATCCCATGCAGAGGAGACCCCTTCGTCTCAGCTATGGGGGCAGCACACCCACCTGGGTATACGCCCAGGGCAAGTATGGAGGAACACGCAGTGGGAGAGGAATGGTGGTTGTTTCTGGATGGTAGAATTATGTATGAATATAATTTTCTTATTTTTGCTTATCTGAATTTCTAAAACGTACAATACACACATTGCTTGCTTTTTAAAAGATGCTTCCCTAAAGACACTGACAGCCACTTATTTTCCTTATGACAACACTGTGCAGATCACTGGCCTCAGGCCTGGCTCATGAAGAACTACGTAGACTTCGCTCCCCACAAGTGTCACACGGTTCCACCTCACACGACATGTATCACAGGGCACATGGTTCACAGAGACACAGGAAGGGAATTCTGACCCACAACATGGGTGAACCTGGAGGAGTTATGCTAAGTGAACAAGCCAGAAATAAAGGACAAGTACTGTAAGGCTGCACTCATATGAGGGACCCAGAGGAACCAAATTCATAGAAACAGGAATACCAGGGCCTGGGAGAGGGAGGAATGGGACATTGGTACTACATGGGTACAGTTTCCATTTTGCAAGATGAAAACAGCTCTAATTGATGGTGGTGATGACTGCACAACACTGTGAATGCGCTTAATGCCACGGACCTGTATGCTTAACAACGCTTAAAATGGCAACTTTAGTGTTACGCATCTTTTACCACAATTAAAAAGATAAATGCACAATGCCAGAACCCATTAAGTCACCTAGAAAAACAAAGGGTCGGGGAACACTCCTCTCTGATGCTGCAGCAATGCTGAACAAATAACACAAGTGGTTTATCTCATCTTTCTTCCGGCAGGTGGGAAGTAGAAAAGCTAAAACGTCTCTGTTAGGATCAGTGGCAATTCACACCCTGGATTTAAGTTCTCTTAACACATTTCATCATTCCCATTTCATTCATCTTTACGTGAACATTAGCAATTTCTGTTCTGAGAAATCCACTGTCTGGGGTAACTGAACCAACAGCACATCGGGGAGGGGTGGCTGTGATGAAGACACAGCCCAGGACCAGGATGGGGAGGGGGCTCAAGGAGAATCCAGACGGCCTTAGGACTCTCCTTTCTGAACTCTCTCCCTACCCTCGTCTCTCCTAAGCCTCAGCCCTTTACACAAGGTTACTAAGGAATACAAGAATGACACTAAGGTCTCATAAAGGCAAAGAGAAAATCTGCTCCAAAAGGCCACGTTGACCAAAGGGTGAGAGATCTCCAACAAGAACCTCATCAACAGCTGTCCTCAGAGGCAGACCTCGGCCTTCTAGCCCCTACAGCTGCCCCTGCTCCTCTTCCGGCCCCACTCCTCTACTGGCCCCTGCTCCTCTTCCGGCCCCCGCTCCTTTGCCAGTCCTTCTGCCAGCTGGCTGGCTGGTCAGATTCAGAGACAATTACAGGGAGAAACTTATTTTTCAATCCAGAAGTTTTTCCACACCAAGGGGAAAAAATGACATTCTTCTCTATCAGATAGATTTCCAAAATACAAAATATTGACTAATATACATACTCTATTTGAAGACAATATTTTAAAAACCAACACTGAAAAAAAAAATTCAGTGGTTCCAAGTAGAAAGCATGATGCTGAAATAGAAGCAAGGGTCACAGAGTTTATGGGCAAAAACTCATCCACAGTAGACCTGAAATGTGGTATGAGGGTGGGGGGAACTACAGAGATATATTTTTACAGCATGTAAAAGAAAATAAAATTGGTGATTCCAATCTGAGAATAGAGATTAAAGGGAAATGGTAAGACACAGTTAACAGAATCAAAGAGTTTTAGAGCAAGAATGTATCTAAATTTTACAGACAAGGAAAACAAAACCCAAATACTCCTTAACTTGTCTAAGGCCACAGGACTGGTGGCACAGCTGAGCCTAGAGCTCCCGGCCATCATCCTTGTTCCGAACCCAGATCCCGTGCTCCCAGGTTATTGTTCTTGCCCCCATTCCATGACTTCCAGCTGGGACTGCCACTTGGGTGGTATACTTTATACAAATTCCAGATTCTTCCCCAAAGTACGATGAACCAAGGCAAGAAATAGAGTTAAAACAATAATCTGGGTTTTTGTGACCACGGCAGCCCCAAGAGTGGTAGTCTCCAAAGTGGGGCCACATAAGACAATCTTCTGGGGCAAAGAAAGAAAATGACAGACATTGTCAAGTATTTTCCTCATCCTTTATAATAGCTTATTTTAAATACACTTTATGATACAAACAGGAGGCAGGGAAATACTGGGTAGGAGAGAGTGGTCCCTAGCAAACGCCACACCCTCAAGCCTGGAACCGTAGGGCCCAAAGTGAGAACATGCATTTCTGTTTTCCTGCCCGAATGTTGCCTTTTCCAAAACCACCCCGGCCCGCCCCACCCTCCATCTTGTACCCATAAAAACCCCAGGCCCTACCAGCAAAGCAATAGAGAAGGAGAGAAGAAACAGCCGGATGTTGGAGAGAATCAGCTTGATTTCAGAGGGACAGCTTGACAGCAGGACTTTGGAGAAGAGTTTGGCTGGGGACAGCAGGACTCCAGGGGAAGACCATCTTCCCACTTAACCCCCTTTCTAGCTTCCCATCCCACTGAGAGCCACTTCCAGTGCTCAATAAAGTCCTCCACATTCACCATCCTTCAATTTGTTTGCACAACTTGATTCTTCCTGGACACCGGACGAGAATTCAGGTACCAAGAGGGTGGATGCAAAAGGCTGTCACACTGACCTTGCACTGAGCTAACACTTAAGTCATCTGTGGACAGCAAATCTAAGAGCACACTGTAACATATGCCCTCTAGGGCTCCAGGGGTCACAGGTAGCCCCACCCAGATGCTGCCGGGGGGCTGCACAGAGTTCTACTCCTGCCGATGCCCAAAAGCACTCACCCCAGCCCCTGCACCCACTCACCTGCATGCTGCTCCTCCCATGAGGGGCTGAGAGCTGTGGGCTGAGTCCTGTGAAGGGGTCAAGGGAACTATCCCATTTCATTTAGAATGTATCAATAAATCTGTACGGCAATATGCATGTAATTCCTAAGTAAGCATTTTAATACATATGTGTGTGGGAGGTGGTCTAAATATACGTCTGTTCATAGAGTGTGCGATCAGAAAATTGGAGACTGTTGGCCTGGAACATCACTGCTCTGCCCTGTTAGATCTGGCTCCTTCATCTGTCAGTGGGTTCTGTGGCCATAAAAGCATCCAGCTTGGTGTCATGTCTTCCCGCCCATCTGTCTACAACTGCTACATGCCCAACACACAGAACACAGGAAGCCACTGAGCTTCCTGAACACACCACTGACACACTGGGAAGTGCCATGGCCAGCGGTTTCTTGCAAACCATAAAACTTTAGCTGTGTTCCTCATGCTTAGGGAAAATGTATTTTTCAATCACAAGAAAATAATTTCTAACAACAAAAAAATTATGTGTATGTTGGTTTAGTAAGAAAAATGGTTTCAACATAAAAAGGAAAGAAAGCCCTTTGGCAAAATAAAAAGACATTGTGCATTTATCAAAAATTACTACTAATAACTCAAAAGAGAGGCAAATCAGTACATTCTGATCTCTTTGAAGATAAGAAAACCAACTGTATGCAATAGTTAAGGATATGAAAGGCAGAGTCAATGTGAGCACTCAAATGATTTTAAGTAAGGTATGACTCTCAATGGTCAAATCCAGCCTATGACCTGAAGATGGCTTTTCCCTCCCTCTCTCTATTTGCCTGAAAACCATCAGAACACTTGTATGTTTTTAATAGAAGATAATCCATAGGAAGTCTCTCATTAATCCACACAACAGAAGTGTGTATCCTAGCTTCCTATTATTATAATAAAGGAATATTAACTATTCTATTCAGATGCTCCCCATTGTGTGGGTAATGTTTACTTTACATATGAAAGAACTGTGGCTCAGGGCTTCATGACTCATCCAGGAGCTGGAAAGATGACAGGGAGGCCGACTTAACACACAAATTGACTGCATGCATGCGTCCAGTCAGAGTTCCTGGAGGAGACAGTGACATACCTGCATCTGGTGTAGGTGGGACAACGCATGGGGAGGGCACAAAGGAGGGGCTTGGACTCCCTGGGGTGACGCTTGTCCAACCACAGTCAAGAACACAACGTGCAAACACTCTCACCAGCAAACACTCTCACCAGCAAACACTCTTGCCAGCAAAGCAAACACTTCATAAACGGACGTCCAGTTCCCAATAGGCATGTAAGGAGCTTGAAAGTCGTTATTCCGTCCTAACAGTAAAAAGCTGAATAAAATGAAAAATCAGCACTTCTTAGAGATCTGCCTTGGATCTGTTGGAGAAATGTCACAAGCCACAGCCCCCCAAATTGGACAGGTGAATACAAGGAATCACAATTCACTGGAGCAGAAGCCTGTAAGTAGAAACCCCTGAAGATCCACTACGGGGGTAGGAAAACCTAAACTGTAGTGGAAAATTCCTGGAGGCTCACTGTGGACAAGCCTAAGAGATTAAAAACTCCAGGGGGACCCAGTCATGGGGGTGTGGCAGCTATATTTGTGTGAGTTTTACCTCCTGGAGCTCTACCAGATCCTCACAGTGAATATTGAAGAAATATCCCCTCATGCTTACAACAGTGAGAGGGGAAAATAACCATTTTGAAAGAAGCCAGGGCACTGTGTTCTTATTAATAAGGCCTGCCATCGGGAGAAACTATTTAAACAGGGACTAAACTGCTAGCATTTATCAGAGCCTGTCCAATCTGAGGAACAGGAAATAACCAGCCTCTGCTAGACTTTAGTATCACCTAAGGATGTGGAGAGGGGGAAGCTGAGAAGCAAATGTGAGGCTCACAGCCCAGACACAAAGGTTCCCTAAAAGAATGAGACCAAATCATAGGACTATAGCAAGCTTCCCCTCCCACTACACCTTAACACCACACAACTAAAGGCCTGTTTACCAGGGTTCCGTGCACCAAGTCCATCACATCCAGCTTTCAACATAAAATTACAAGGCACACTAAGAGGTTAAACACACACACACACGCGCGCACACACACACACACACACACACACACACGCACGCACGCACAGTTTAAAGAGACACAGCAAGTATCAGAACCAGACTCAGATATAGAACAATGTTGGAATGATCAGATCAGGAATTTAAAACAACTATAATTAATATGCTAGGGACTCTAATGGAAAAAGTAGGTAACACACAAGAACAGACAGATAATGTAAGCAGCGAAATGGAAATTATGAGAAAGAATCAAAAGGAAATGCTAGAGATCAAAAACACTGTAGAGAATGAGGAATGTCTTTAATGGGCTCATTAGCAGACATGACATGCTGAGGAAAAAAATCTCTAAACTTTAGGACATGACATTAGAAACTTCTAAAACTCAAATGCAAAGACAAAAAAGATGAAAAAAATTGAAATAATATCCAAGAACTGTGGAACAATTACAGTGGTGTAAATATGCATGATGGGAATATCGGAAGGAGAAGAAAGAGAGAAAGGAACAGGAGAAATACTGGAAGCAATAATGACTAAGAATTTCCCCAAATTAATGTTGAACACCAAAACGCAAATTAAGGAAACTTAGAGAACACACAGAATAGTATAAAGGCTCCAAAAACTACACTGAGGCATATCATATTCAAATTGCAGAAAATCAAAGATAAAGAAAAAAAATTGAAAGAAACACCTTACCTATCAATAGAGGAGCAAAGAGAAGGATTATAACTAATGTCTTCTCAGAAACCATGCAGGAAAGAAGAGAGGAGAGGGAAATATTTAAAGGGCTCAGAGAAAAAAAAAATGACCACCTAGAATTCTGTACCATTTAAGATTGATCTTCAGGCCAGGCGCGGTGGCTCACGCCTGTAATCCCAGCACTCTGAGAGGCCAAGGTGGGTGGATCACGAGGTCAGGAGATCGAGACCATCCTGCCTAATGTGGTGAAACCCCATCTCTACTAAAAAAATACAAAAAAATTAGCTGGGTGTGGTTGGGCGCCTGTAGTCCCAGCTACTCGGGAGGCTGAGGCAGGAGAATGGCATGAACCTAGAAGGCAGAGCTTGCAGTGAGCTGAGATAGCACCACTGCACTCTAGCCTGGGTAATAGAGCGAGACTCTGTCGCAAAAAAAAAAAAAAAGATTGATCTTCAAAGATGAAGAAGGGATAGAGACTTCCTCAAACACAAGTTGAGGGAATTTGTTGCCAGTAGACCTGCCTTGCAAAAAATGTTAAAAGCAGCTCTTTTAACATAAGAAAATAACATCGATCAGAAACCTGGATCTACATGAAGAAAGGATGCATCAAAGAAGGAATAAGTGAAGGTAAAATAAAAACTTTTCCTTTTTTTTTTTTGAGTTGTAGTCTTGCTCTGTCACCCAGGCTCAGAATAGTGGTACGATCTCGGCTCACTGCAGCCTCCGCCTCCCAGGTTCCAGCGATTCTCCTGCCTCAGCCTCCCAGGTGGCTGGAATTACAGGCACGCACCACCACACCTGGCTAATTTTTGTATTTTTTGTAGAGACAGGGTTTCACCATGTTGGCCAGGCTGGTCTTGAACTCCTGACTTCAGGTGATCTGCCTGCCTCGGCCTCCCAAAGTGCTGGGATTACAGGCATGAGCCACTGCTCCTCGCCTATTTTTCTTATTCTTAATTGAACTATCATATAATGGGTTGTTTGAAATAATAATAGCAACAATATATTCCATCATGTATTCTTTTATATATTATATACATATGCTTATGTGGATGTAAAATGAATGACAGCAATGATATAAGTGATGGGAGGGAGGAATCAAGAATACTTTGTTGTTATAAGATACGTGCACTACCTGTGAAAAAGTATAGTGTTATCTGAAAGAAGACCAACTAATTTTTTTTTAAGACACATAATAGATATGCTGAGAAGAGAGAGAAAATGGGATCATACAGAAAGCTCAATTAAAACGACAAAAGGCAGAAAAAGTGTGAAAGGTAAAAGTACAAACACAGAATAAGGGCAATAAATAAAAAACAATAACAAATATAGTAAATATGAATTTAAATATATCAACAATCACTGTGTACATCGATGGTCTAAATACACCAAAGAAAATACCAAGATTGTGAGAATCGAAAAATAAGTCCCAATTATATGTTGTCTACAACAAATCCACTATAAATAAAACAACACACATAGATTAAAAGTAAAATGATAAAGAATGGCCTTTACCAAGAAAAGTTAGATCTATCATGCTAACACTAATCAAAAGAAAGTAAGAATAGCTATATTAATTTCTGACAATGTAGACTTTAGATCATAGGAATTTTTAAGGGATCAAGACAGAACTACACAATGATTTTTTAAAAGTCTGTTTTCCAAAAAGATACAACAATCCTTAATGTGTATGTGCCTAAAAGGAGCATAAAAATGCATGAGGCATAAAAATGTCCATGCAGTTCATGATAGATAGAACTGCAAGGAGAAATAAATGAACTCACTGTTATAGTTTGAGACCTCAATAGTCCTCTGTCAAAAATGGGCAGATCCTGCAAGAGGAAGCTCAATAAGGACAGAGTTGAACTCAACAACACCATCAATCAACTAGATATAATTGATATCTATAGACTAATTCAGTCAAAAACAGCAGAGTACACATTCTTCTCAAACTCACATGGAACATTCACCAAAAGAGGCCACATTCTGGGCCACAAAGCATACCTTAACAAATTGAAAAGAACAGAAATCAGACTGTGTGCTCTCAGAACACAATACAATTAAACTAGATTCAATAACAGAAAGATAGCTAGCTGGGAAATCCCAAAGTACATGGAGACTAAACAACGCACTTCTAAATGACACAGGGGTCAAAGAAGAAATCTCAAGAAAAAATGATTTTAAATTTCCAAAGTAAATAAAAATGAAAACAAAACTTATGAAAATTTGTGAGATGCAGCAAAAGCAGTGCTTCCAAAGAAATTTATAGTACTGAGTGCATACATTAGAAAATAAGAAAGATCTAAAAGCAATCATCTAAGATTCTACTTGAAAAAACTAGAAAAAGGAGAAAGTTAAATCCAAAGTAAGTAGAAGACATACTAAAAATTATTACAGAAATCAATAAAATTGAAAACAGAAAATCAATACAGAAAAAAACAAAAACAAAAACTGGTTCTCTCAAAATATCAATAAAATCAATGAATCTCTAACCAGACTAAGTGAAAAGGAAAAAAGGCACATTTTACCAATATCAGAAATGAAAGTGGGGATATAACTACAGATCCCATGGATATGAAAAGGACAATACGGAATAGTATGAACAACTCTATTCCCATAAATTCAATAAGCTGGATTAAATGGACCAATTCCTCCAAAGACATACTCTGCCAAAATTCACATAAGAAGAAATAGACAATTTGAACTGGTCATATCTATTAAAGAAATTGAATCAATAATTAATAATCTTCCCAAACAGAAAGCACCTGGCCTAGGTGTGTTCACTGATGAATTCTGACCCACATTTAAAGAAAGAAATTATACCAATTCTCTACAATCTCTTCCAGAAGACAGAAGCAGAAGAAATACTTCCTAACTCATTCTATGAGGCCAGCATTACCCTAATACCAAAAACCAGACAAAGACATTTAAGAAAAGAAAGGTATGGCTGGGTGTGCTGGCTCACGCCTGTAATCCCAGCGCTTTGGGAGGGCTGAGGCAGGCAGATCACCTGGGGTCAGGAGTTCAAGATCAGCCTGGCCAACATGGTGAAACCCTGTCTCTAAAAAAAAAAAAAGGAAACGAAAGGTACTGATTAATAGCTCTCATATGACCATATGCAGGAATTCTCAACAAAATAAAGCAAATCAAATTCAACAATGTATAAAGAGAATTATACACCATGATCAAGTAGGATTTATGCCAGTTATGCAACAGTGGCTCAACAAATGAAAACCCATTAACGTAATCCATCATGTCCACTAGCTAAGCAAGAAAAATCACATGATCATATCAATAGATGCAAAAAAACCACTTGACAAAATCCAACACCCATTCATGTTACAAATTCTCAAACTAGGAATGTATGAGAACTTCCTCAACTTGATATAGAATACCTACAAAAATCCTGCAGCTAACATCATACTTAATGGTGAAAAACTGGAAACTTTCCCACTAAGATCAGGAACAAGGCAAAGATGACCCCTCACCACTCTTCTTCAACACTGTGCTGGAAGTCCTAGCTAATGAAATAAGACAAAAAAAAAAGTATAAAGATTGGAAGAAAATAAATAAAATCCTATTTGTTCATAGATCACATGATTGTCTGTGCAGAAAACCTGAAACAATGAACAAAAATTTCCTAGGACTAATAAACAATTACAGCAAGGTTACAAGATGTGAGGTCAATATACAAAAGTCAACTGCTTTCCTATATACCAGTAACAAAGGAGTGGAATGTGAAGTGAAAATCACAAGACCATTTACATTAGAAACTCCCAAAATGAAAAACTTAGGTACAAATCTGACAAAATATGTATAAATTCTGTATGAGGAAAACTACAAAATTCTGATAAAAGGTATCAAAAGAATTAAATGAAAAAATATTTGACATTCATGGGGAGTAAGACAATATGGTCAAAATGTCAGTTAATCTCAACTTGATCTATAGATTCAATGCAATTAGAGCCAAAATCCCAGCAAGTTGTTTTGTGGATATTAACAAACTGATTCTAAAATTTACAAATTTATATGGAACAGCAAAAGATCTGGAATAGCTAAAACTACCTTGAAAGAAAACAAAGGTGACTAACACTACTCGGCTTCAAGACTTTACATGAAGTCATGGTAATCAAGGCAGTGTGGTAGTGGCAAAATAACAGAAAAATAGACCAATGGAAGCAAATAAAGAGCTCCAATATAGAACCATACGAATATTGCCAACTGATCTCTGACAAAGGAGCAAAGGCAATAAAGCGGAGAGAAGAGAGTCTCTTCAGCAAATGTTTCTGGAAGACCTGGACACTCACATGCCAAAAAAAAAAAAAAAAAAAAAAAAAAGAACCTAGACACAGCTCTTACACTTTTCACAAAATTAACTCCAAATGAATCACAGACCTAAATGTAAAACACCAAAGTAGGCCAGGCGTGGTGGCTCCCGCTGTAATTCCAGCACTTTGGGAGGCCGAGGCGGGCGGATCACCTGAGGTCAGGAGTTTGAGACCAGCCTGGCCAACATGGCAAAACGCTGTCTCTACTAAAAATACAAAAATTAGCTGGGCTTGGTGGCAGATGCCTGTAATCCCAGCTACTGGGAGGCTTAAACAGGAGAATCGCTTGAACCTGGGAGGTGGAGGTTGCAATGAGCTGAGATTTCACCACTGCACTCCAGCTTGGGCAACAGAGTGAGACTCTGTCTCAAATAAATAAGTAAATACACCAAAGTATAAAACTCATAGAAGATAACATAGAAGAAAATCTAGGTGACCTTTTTGTCATGGTGAAGACTTTTTAGAGAAAACACCAAAGGCGTGACAATGAAGGAAATAATTGATAAGCCAGATTTTAATCAATTAAAATCTTCTAGGACACTATCAAGACAATGAGAAGACAGGCCACAGACTAGGAGAAACATTTACAAAACCCATATCTGATAAAGGACGATTATCCTAAATGTATACAGACTCTTAAAACTCAACAATAAGAAAATGAACCACTGGATTAAAAATGCGCAAAAGGAGTGAACACCTCAGAAAAGAAAATATACAGATGGCAAATAAGCCTATGAAAAGATGCTCAACATCATATGTCATTAGAGAATTGGAAATAAAAACAAAAGTGAAATACTACTCCACACCTATTAGAGTGGCCTAAATCCAGAACACTGGCAACACCAAATGCTGGTGAGGATGTAGAGAAACAGGAACCCTCACTCACTGTGGTGGGAATGGAAAATGGAACAGCCACTTTGGAAAACAACTTAGCAGTTTCTTACAAAACTCAGCATACTCTTACCATATGATCCAGCAATCATACCCTTTGGTATTTACCCAAATGAGCTGAAAACTTATGTCTACACGAAAACTGGTACATAGATATTTATAGTAGCTTTAATCATAATTGCCAAAACTTGGAAGCAACCAAGATGTCCTTCACTAGGTGAATAAACAAACTAATACACCCAGACAATGGAATGTTAATTCATTAAGAAATGAGCTATCCAGCCATGAAAAGACATGGAGGAACCTTAAATATATATTAAATATTAATATATTAAAATAAATATATATTAAATATATATTACTCAGTGAAAGAAGCTAATCTGAAAAGCTGACATACCCTATGATTCCAACTGCCTGACATTCTAGAAAAGCAAAACTTCAGAGGCAACAAAAGGATCGCTGGTTGCCAGGGGCTGGGGGGAGCAAAGGATGAATGGGCAGAGCACGGAGGACTCTTAAGGCAGTGAAACGACTCTGTATGATACTACAATGGCGGCTAAACGCCATTATGCATTTGTCCAAACCCACAGAATGTGTAACATCGAGAGTGAACCCTAATGTCAACTACAGACTTCGGGTGATGATGACGTGTCAATGCAGGTTCATGGATTGTAACAAATGTACCACTCTGTTGGGGGATACTGACAATGGAGGAGGTTGTATGTGTGTTGGGGGTGGGGGTGCAGGAGGTATACAGGAATTCTCTGTACCTTCCCCTCAGTTTTGTTCTGAAGCTAAAACTGCCCTAAAAAATAAAGTCTATTAAAAATATTTCATGAACTAATATATACTAATATATACTTTCTACTTTAGTCTATTTTTATTTTCTTTTCAACACATTTTGGTCACCTCCTATAAAAGTTTTAACTTGACCACCCACTAATGGGTCCGATGGAAGTTGGCAAAGCAGTGCTTTAGGGCGGTGTCTCCTGCTGACCTATGGAATCCAGCCTCTCCCCACAGACCACCTGCTCCAAGAGCCATGCTCAGTCCACTCCCAATCACGTGCTCAAAGCAAGATGGCTTCCTGGCCCCTGGCAGTACCTGGAGGGAGGGTCTCCATGCTTTGTGCTTTCTCTTCTCCATTGCTGTGATGAAGGTCTTTCTTTTTAATGGGGTCAATTTCATTCCAGTCCTCCTAGGGGAACAAAGACACTGAATGAGTTGACTTGTTCTTCAAGCACACCTTCATTCATCAGTTCAATACATACCGAGTCTTAGGAGAGTTAACACTTGGCCCTGGGGATGCACTGATGAGCAGGAGGGAGGGCACATCTTAAAGACCCCACACACCAGAAATTGTTAGGGAGTCAAGATGCAAGGGGAGAAAAGTATGGGCATGACCTTTCCCAAGGGTTTGCATTTCTCTCTTCATTTTATATTTGTATTGCTTATCTGTGGGAAGGAAATACTCCAAAAACTCCCAGGGCTTTGGGGATTTGTGAGGGTGGGGAAGCGAGATAGGGAAAGTGGATTAAATGAAATAATTCTAGAGTGGTTAAATTAAAGCCATTAAAATGAAGGTAGCTCTCCAGACATCTTAGGTGGTTTATGGACATCTTAGGACCAGATTCTCCCTAAGGGCTCCTTTGAGCTCCCCTCAGAGAGTGTTAAATGATTTAATTCCACTGACTAACACAGGAGCAGGGGGTAGGGCCACCAAGCTTTTTCTAGGACTTACTCTAATAGGACTGCCAATGAAACAGAGATACATATTAAGGACTCAATGTGAAAACAGAATAAGATATAAGCTCTGGCAGAATTTATTCAACTCATCTGGGCAAACAATTTACTCTAATTTATCAACATTAAATCAGACTAAATAACAACTGCACGACCACAGAGCTAAATATATATTTTCCACCACTGGGAATCTGATTTCTGTGACTAAAATAAGAAAGGTTTCTGTATATAACCCAAATCAGAAATAAGCCATGGCTAGTAATTTTCCCACCAGACTCCTGTGAGCCAAGCATTGTCAGCTGGCCATTTTCCTGAGCAGATGCGATTAGGCGGATACGCAACAGTAATCCCTCCCTGCGGGGCGGGGAACCCAGCTCTCCCCGGGTTTATTCCACCAGCACTCCTCTGGACCAGTGCGGACTGTGTGCTGCACGCACGTTCACCACTGGAGACGTTTTGGTTCTTTACTTAAAACGTAAAGTGAGATCTGCAGAAGGGTAAACCTCAGGGCCTGGGCCAAATGACACATTTTTTCCAAATGCAACTTGCTTTGCCAATAATCTGCATTTTTACTCAAGAGGTGCGGTAATTAGACAGAAACTGTGCCTAAGACTCCCCCATCTCTTGGCTAGCTTTTGCTTCCGTTGCTTCTCTAATGAGGCGATACAGCTGGGTTTATCACATCAGGGCTGCCGTGAAAATGGCAGGAAGGGAGGAACTGTAGCCTTGGCGGGCTGGTGAGAGAAACCATTCTGCAGCCGGGGGTCCAAGCCCCACCCACCCAGCAGAACACCTTCCTGGCCTTTAAGTGCCCCATGTACTTTTGCAAGTCTTACCCCACGCTGCAACAAATGTATTAGAATGCAGCTGTATCCCAATTTAAATAATTTTTACTGCAAAAAAGTTTTGAAAAGATATATTTATAACTTGGCTTTTGAGATTACTTGGCTATAAAGAAACTTTCAATTTACTACTGGCACTGATTTTGCGGGAACCCTGGCAGATAGGCAACGGTGAGAGAATTTAACCCACCAACTGGCTTTACAAAGTAAGGAGATACATGTGAATACGAAATCAGCAAGTAATGAAATTACCACAGTCACACTCTGCAGACTTTTAATTACGCATTAATTTTTATTTTGAGGCTTGATTGTAGCATTGTGGCTGATAATTCCCACCTCTCAACCCCCACCCCAGCATCTGGCCTTCTATGTACACCAGCTAATGGATCAAATCATTTAAACTTGTAGCTGAATAAAATCAAAAGTGAACACTGCCAGTGGGGCTGGTGACTCTAGCATATTTTCTACATGTAAAAATAAAGTCATCATCTGTAGTCATTATCTGACATTTGCAGGTCAACCATCAGTGTTTTCCCAGAAAATAAACTTTTTTTTTGTGCCCACAAATAAGATTGATTTGCCCACAGGTAACACTCCTCACCCTCCCTTCTTCCTTCCAATCAATGATGCCTACTATAAAACTAGTGCAGGGTGAGCACTCCTCAACCTCCCTTCTTCCTTCCAATCAACGATGCCTACTATAAAACTAGTGCAGGGTGAGTTCATGCCCATATAATTAGGGCATGACAAGGTACCAAGCAGATGGAACAAGCCCTGCCATTTACGAATACCTACTATGCGCCAAGCATTGTGCATTGACCCTCTCTCATTCCTGCATTTTATAATTCCTGTCTTACAATGAGGACACATAAGATAGGCTAAGCAATTTGTCCAGGTTACGCAGCTGGTAAAAAGCTAAATCTGGCCCTTTATGTAAGTCAGAGTGGGAATGACAGGCTAGGGCTCGATTTAAACTAAATTATAAGAGCCTGATTCTCAAAATGTCATAAAAACCCAAGAATACATTTCTAGGAGGTCACTCACATAGGACTGTTTTGTTCTGGACTCCCAGGCCAAAACCTGCAGATTATCATCTTAAATACCTGCTCCTACAGTAAAAATGGGGAAGGGGAAGAGGAGCCCCCAAGGAGAAGGAGGGGGAGGACAGTGAGGAGGAGGAGGGGGAGAGGGAAAGGAGGAGGAGGGGAGAGGGAGGGGGAGGAGGAGGACGAGGAGGGGACGAGGAGGGGAGGAGGCAGAGGAGGAGGGGAAGGAGGGGGAGGGGAGGACAATGAAAAGGAGGAACCACCATGGTGACTGCTGCCTAACACAGTATTTACGAGGTGCCAAGCCCCACTCTGGACACTGCACATATGCTCATCTTCCTGCAATGCTATTACTATTCCAATTTTACAGGTGAGGAAGCCAAGGCACTGAACATTTAGTGTTCGTATGAGGCTGGATCCACACCCTGGGGAGCTCAGGGCTGGAGTTTATGGTCTCAGTCATTTAGCTGTACTGCCTCTAGATAAGATAGCTTCCTCCCTCCCTCAACTAAATAGCCAAAGTTCAATTAAGACATTGTACTAACCATTCATCTCAGAATATGTCTGGTCACTAGAAATAAATTCCTACAAAGATGGCTGACTAGGTTCACTGGCTGATGGAGCACCCACACTCAACCCACCACTGGTCTGTAGATGCTTGTCTTGTCCCACTCTCTTCTCTCCACCCCTACCGAAGGCCTTGGCCTGGTATTAAGAAAGTCAGCTCCTAGAGACACAGCAG
Organism: Homo sapiens; assembly: GCF_000001405.40. NCBI lineage: Eukaryota > Metazoa > Chordata > Mammalia > Primates > Hominidae > Homo > Homo sapiens. The sequence goes on along the minus strand of NC_000001.11, from coordinate 230,175,042 downwards.
GGGCCAGGCATCTTGGCCTGTGCTGTGCAAAGACACCCACAGACAAGCGTGGGGAACAACGGCCCAGAGGCACAGGCCCCGCGTAGAACAGGGCCCCCAGGAAGGCTGTACACGGAAGTGGTACCTCGGTGGAGACCTAAGGGAGGCAAGAAGGAACAATGGGGACTAGCGGTGGTGGGTGTACCAGACAGATGGAACAAGGGAAAGATCAAAAACAGGAGGGCACGGAAGCGGCAGGATAGTCTGAGACCTGTATTCTAGAAATATCACTATGGCTATAAGGTGGGGGCAGACTAGAGGGCACAAGAGAGCCCAGGAGGCCATTTCAGTAATGCAGCAATGGGAAGATGGCATGCTGGACCCAGTCCAGGTCCCGGAGGGACAGAGCGGAGACAGGTGCAGCTAGGAGGGGCTGGCAATGCAGCAGGAGGAGTGCGAAGGGGAAGAAGAATCAAAGACGGCCCCAGGTTTCTGACTGCAGCACTTCCTACACAGGTGTGATGTCCACCGAGAAGAAATGCAAGACAGTTGCTGGGGAGGGTAAGAAGCAGTGCTAGGAAATATAGAGGAGTTTGGTTTGGAAATGATGAAGCTACTGTGAGATACCAAGAGGAGGCATCTGCAAACAGATGGAGGCACAAATCTGGGGTTGTGAAAAGGCCCCGGGTAATTAAAGCTACTGGTGAGCAGGAGGGAGACCACTCAGGGAAGGTGAGGTGTCAGTGCAGGGGAGAGGAGAGGCCAATGCTGCAGGGACAAGTAGGAAAGGAGGAGACCCCGCATGACACGTGGGGAGCAGCACTGGCCTCGGAGCCAGAGCCTTGGGTTCCAGCCACGCCTCTGCCAATGGCAGTGGGTGTTGGAGTCTAACTTCTCTAAGATTAGGAGGCTGGGCTCAATGCCTCTTGCACAGCGGGTCCCTGCCTGCCCAGTGTTCTTGTGTAGGTGATACATTCAGTTAGCACTTGGGGGTCTTTTACATTTGCTACCTGCTTCGCCCATGTTTGATATCCAAAAAGATTTCAGGTTCTTTGAGGGTAAGGAAAGCTGTCATATTCCTTCTGTATCCTTATGGTACCAAGTGCGCTGGTGGCCTTACAATAGTTGCTCAATAATAAATGCAGCTGAAAAAAAAAAATCCTCGCCCTACTTACTCAGATTGATTGTACTGGCTTCGCCTACTCTGCAGTGGAAGTTTTTCGTTACAATCCCCCTCCCATACATTTACATACATTATAAGACTTATTTACACTAGCATCAGTGCCGCTCAAAAATGGAAATGTACTGAATGCAAATGTATGAAGAAGGCTCTTGCGCCCAGTAGCCACTGGTATCCTGGCTGTGCTACCAACAGATCTGTGTGTTTTCTCCCTTTTAAGGGGAAACTGATGCAGTGACAGACAGGTCCTCTTTTTAGTGACAAGTATAAACTACTGAGATTAGACAAGTCATGATGTGGTTTATGCTGGGTCAAAAGTTGCAGAGAATTCAAAGCCTGTGATCTTGTAAGCCCGCTTTGATTTCCCAGGATGCAGACCCATCTCTGCTTTGTTTCCACCACCCTCAAAGGAGGGATGTTGACAGTGAATGCAGAATGATTACCCCACAGACAGATGGTGCTTCAGGAAAGTGTAGACAAGGGAGGGCTCAGCAGCTCTGACCAAATACTGCATTCCATCAGGGAAGTTTAACCAGAGGTCTAGGATGCCCTGCCAACCAAATGAGAAACATGGGACAGGAGAACGCTGCTGCCCTGCCTGGCATCACCCCTTGGTCTAGAGTATTGGATGCATCCACACGCAGCCTCTGGAAAGACCTAGATGCCCTAAAGTACAGCGCTGTGGTCTTCGCTCCCTTTGTAAATGGCATCTGGGCCAGAGAAAGAGAACTCTAAGTCTTCTCCTACTTACTAACTTACCCCAGATGGTAGTGATTATTGTTATTAGACATTTTAATCTGGTTCAAAATTATGTATCCTAAAACCTCAAAATATGTATCTCCCAAATTGTTCTTACAAATGCACACAACAGAGGCACAAATGGAATTAAACCAGGGCCATGAGTGTAATCAGACGGGAATCCATGGCTGAGCGACGTCTACTTACCTGCCATAATCAGAGAGCACAGCAGCTCAAATTCATCCTATCTCTAAGTACATAAAATAGCAATGACATCTAAATACTATGACACTATTTTCAGAAGCAGTAAACCCAATAGGTGAGTTTATTAAATAGTTATGGAAACTAATTAAGTGTAAATATAGGTTTCGTTGTTAATAGAATATTCCCAGTATAATCTGTCTCTGATCCAAATAAGAAAAAAATAAGAAGTGTTCTTGGCTCAGTTGCCAAAGGCAAGTGGTCAGGGGAGTGGAGGAGGAAAGGCGCCGTGGGGATGAGGAGGTACAGTGGCTGGAAGATGAGCAAGCCCCTTAGGCACTATTGATCGAATCTATGCGTGCAGGGCACTGTGCAGTCCAACCATTCGTTTCCCAGAGGATTGGCAAAAAGGATCCAGAAGGGCTACCTGACTTATCAACTGCTGCAAAACTCAGTAGCTTAAAACAATAAATGTTTATTACCTCACACAGTGTCTGAGGGTCAGGAATCTGAATGGTTCTGGCCCACGATTTCTAATGGGGCTGCAAAGATTTCGGCCAGGGCTGCTGTTCTCTGAAGGTTTGCCTAGGGCTGGGGTCTGCTTCCAAGATGGGTAACTCACGTGGCCAGGAGGCCCCAGTTCCTCACTGGGGCCCATCCAGTAGGGCTGCTTAAGTGTCCTCCCAAGAGGCGGCTGGCTTCCCCAGTGAATATGAGGAAGAGGGCACATACAAGAGCAAGGGAAACACGGTGATGCCTTTTATGGCCTAGTCTTGGAAATCACTCACTGTTGCCCTGTCACAGTCTGTTCATAAGAAATAATGAACCATGTCACCATGTCCAGCTCACGTGAAATCGGGTTTGGTGGAGCTGAGACTAGCCTCCAGTTTTGAGAGGAGGATAATAAAAAAAATTGGTTAATATTTAGAATATTCTAAAACCACTACATTTATCAATGCCATAAGGCTTGCTAGTGGCAGAGACTGCTGCACCCAGCCAGTCATTTGTGTGGGACAGGGGTGGGGGGCAGGGGCTGTGAGGTGTTGGAAGCCCAAGAATTGAGTCACAAAAGCAGCAAAAATGTGGCTTCATCTCACGCTGATGTCTTACCCATGTCCAATATAAATACAATTACCACCTCTGGTAACATTTTTGAATTATGAAACACCACTAAAATAAACATGCTTACATACATAAAACTAGATAATAACAAAGAATAAATGTTATGTATATTGCTAAATCATCCAAAGCTGCTTCCATATAATTTAAATGGCGAACATCATATTTGTTAACGGAGACATAAAAATATTACTGCGGGAGAAAACAGAAAATAAATGGGCTGTTTTTAATCTCTGCTTGCTGAAATATATGTTGTCACTGTTAAATTATTTCAGCTGACTAGAACATATGGTCAGAGGCAGATTAAATTACCGAAAATACCATCTGAATGACTACTTGATTCCCTTCTAATCAGTTGTCTAGTTTTCACTGTTATTTGATGACTTTTCAGTAATTACCACTACAGCCAATCCACACAGCAACCCTCAAGTTTTGGGGAAAAAAACAGGTTGCCAGAAATTTTTAAATGATGTAATAATTTATATTTCACAGCCCATTTCTCAAAAGGTAAGACTAAGCTAAGCTGCAAAGCTAAGACATTACAAACTAACTAAAATACTGTTCACTCGAAAGCAAATTTTTACAGAGTAGACTTAGTTTCCCGCTAAAGACCAAGACCTCCCCTGATCAAGCATTTTCCCTATAAAGTGACCCATGGGAGAAGCAGAAGGACTTATTTCTAATTCTTCAAGGTTGGCGTTCCACCAGGGTAGTGTAGAGGAATAATCTTCAGGTCTTCTCACAAGAAGGCAAAAAAACTTACTTTCCAAATAGGCTGTGTGACCTATTAATAAACTCACAAATTTAATTTTAACTCACTGGGAAAGGGTCCTGAAAAAAGAACACCAGAGTTAACTAGGTGATTTCATCTGGATAGCTGTCTCCTCCAAATCTGATGTTGAAATGTGATCCCCAATGTTGGAGGTGAGGCCTGGTGGGGGTGTTTGCGTCATGGGGGTGGATCCCTCATGCATGGCTTTGTGCTCTCCCCATGGTAAAGGAAAGAGTTCACACAGATTTGATTGTTTAAAAGAACCTGGCACCTCCTCCCCTCTCTCTCTTGCTCACTCTCTTGCCATGTGACACACCTGCTCCCCTTCACCTTCTACCATGATGAAAAGTTTCCTGAAGTCCTCACCAGAAGCAGATTCTGTTGCCATGTTTCTTGTACAGCCTACAGAACCGTGAGCCAAATAAACCTTTTTTCTTTCTAAATTACCCAGTCTCAGGTATTCCTTTATAGCAATGTAAAACAAACCAATATACTAGGCTAGTAAGATCACTCTGAACCATGGCAAAAGTTCTCTTAAAACCAGAAGCCTGTACTGTGTAAAACACTGGTATCTATGCATTTATAAAAGAGATCAGTTTTTGCTTCTTAATAAAAATCCCCATTGAAAGCAAGAACAGTTTGGTTTACAAGAAAGAGTGGTATCTTTCCTCCTACTCATCATTAGAATAGAAAGGGAACGTAATATACCCTAGAGACCAGAGACAGGCTTCATTCAGTCTCTCAAATATTTCTGAAGCATGTTTTGTGCCCCATGTAGCAGAAGTAGCCATGGGCCCTCCTAGTTTCATCACCTAGGGAGAACAGGTAAAATATAGGTAGAGAAGTAAGATCAGCCTACTGCAAGCTTTGAAAGCTCCAGCCCAACAGCTCCCAAAACCTCTACTTAGGCAAGAATCAAAAGATATGAAAGGTTTAAGAATGAAGACCTGGGTAGAGTACAGAGTGAGGAACAAGACAGAAAGGCCAAGTTTTGGATTTCCCAAGGCCTGTTCCTGCCCTGGCCAATATAATTACAACTTTAGGGAATGGGACCCAGCCTTGGGGGTTTTTCTAGAAGCTCCCAGGCAGTTCTCAGTGTTCAGAACCACTGGCTTCATCCATGCATTTCCAGTTTCACTTTCACTGCTCCAACTTAGTTTATGAAACTCAATGCTGCGAAAATGAGAGGAGGGCAAATTTCTATTTTGGATTCAAAGTCACAAACTGCTTTATACATACTCCACTTGCTCACAAATAAAAAATATGTTATGATAAAGGTCAGCACTTCACTTATTTTACTGTGTAACCTCAGAGAAAAACACACTGGTGGGGAATAACGTGGGGCTGCTCAACATTTGAGAACTGTAACAATGACTTGTGCTGAAGTCGTGAACTACAATCGCATAATTATTAATTCTCAACCATTTAACTTCTCTAACAGGCAGAAAGCCTGGTGAATCATCCTGCACATTGATTCCACGCACAGTCGGTCAATTGTCTTCATTTAACAAAAATCCTCCTATTTAAATCCCTATAGCTACGCACAGATGAAATGGCCATCGGTGACCCAGCCAGTTGAGTCTAGAACCTCTGGGCATAGAAAATGCAACTAGGAATAGTTTGCAAATGCACTGGCATATCCAGTAAATCCTGGTCTATCTCTATGACCTTAGGCAACTCAGGCTGCTTCTCTGAGCCTCAGTTTCCCAAGATATAACATGAAAATGTAAGAACCACTCTATCCCATCCCCTTTGAACTATAAGGCATGACACAAGTTAGACATTAAGTCCCATCATTAAGAACATTAAACTTGCCTTCTTCCAATCTGGGGGTCCAGCCTTTACTCCTCTTCCAGTTACTATTCAGGGGTACTAAACTTCCCTTTCTCTCCATAATTAACTCATTCAACAACTTGTTTACAAATTTATGCATATTTTACTTCTGTGGTCTTCCTCTCCCAAACCCATAACTCTCATCTAATCATGAGAAAAAACATCAAACAAACCCCAGACGAGGAATATTCTAAAAAATCCCTGACCAAGCCTCCTCAAAACCGTCAAGGTCATAACAAAAAAGGAAAGTCTAAAAAAATGTCACAGTAAGAAGACATAATCACTAACTGGAATGTGGTATTCTGGATAACATATTAAAACAGAAAAAGAACACAAGGGGATGTTGTAAAAAATCTGAATAAAGAGAGAACTTTAGTTAATAACATATCAATACTGGTTCTTTACAATAAATGAATCATACTGATGTAAGATTTTAATAACAGGGAAACTTGGTATGATATATATAGGAACTTTCTGCACAATGTTCCCCATGTTTCTGTAAGTCTAAAACTGTTCTAGAAAAAAATAAAATTGTAAAAAATTACAAAAATGTGCGCATAATCCTATTTACCTAAAGGGAAAGCAACTACACTGAAAACTCCTGGGCCAACATCCGTCAATCATGTATTTCCTGGGTGCCTGTTCATTTTTAATGGAAATTTTAAGCCCTCTTGCCTCCCTCTTCGTTCAAGAAAACTCAGGTACAAATCTCTTGATAAATGCTCGAAAGCCAATCTTCCAATGAGAATAATCAGCTCAGCTCCGGGGACAGGAGGGGCAAGGCCTCAGAGGAATCTATTCCACGCCACCATCCTCTCTTCAAGAGCTGCCAGACCATCCTAAACGTTTTAGCCCAGAGAAAGCGAGCACAAGGGATGCCACTCGCATGCAGCTTTTCCTCATTCCTAGGTCTAAGTAAGAGTTTATGAAGCAGGTCAGCTCTTAGCTCCTGGTGATAACTTCCCATTCCTGAAGGCAAGAACAGCAGGTCCTTTAAGAGATGATATATAATTCTAGCCCTAAGTTAGCTGAGCGCCCGACACTTTAAGGAGTCTTTTATGGCTCCATTTTCTAACACTTGCTCCGAGTCCACCGCCTCCCCAGTCAGGGGGTGGCACACAAAGCCCTCTCTCAACTGCAGCTCACTTCTTGTTCTGGGTTTCCCAACCACAGCTGAAGCAGGTTCTTTTACTTTAGAAAAATGAAGAATTTCTGCACACTGGACTAGAAAATGTCTCTTTACAAAAAAAAGGGGGGGGTATTTTAGAAAATTATTTCCCATGTGATTTATGTAAAAATCAATTGCATTTTAAAAATTTAAAAATAATCATTGCCAATAGGTAAGAAAAAAAGGTGGGAGGAGAGAGGTGAAGCCCTCAGGCAGCACTTGGTGATGAGCGGGGCCCAAGGGCCACAGTGGAGCAGCCGCAGGGAGGCCAGCAGGAGGCAGCCTCGTCAGCCGGCCAGGCTGCAGCCCTGCACATTTCACACCCGTGCTGCTCCACCGCCCCTTCCTCCCATCACCACGGCGCTCCTCCACGCTCGGCAGTTCCCTGACCTCCATGTCAATATCCCCGCAAGGCTGCTTTCCTCCCCACTTCACCTCAGCCCACAAGCAGGTCTCACAGAACTAAAGTGCAATGCTCCTTGTCACCAGTAGGTGCCACCATCTCCCATGACCACCTGGTTAAATCCTTCCCATGAGGGCCTAACTTCCATACAACTGGTTCCTTCCTAGGCCTGCTCTGTAACCACTGAGTCAGAACTGGCTCCATGCTGGGAGTGGTGGCTCACGACTGTAATCCTAGCACTTTGGGAGGCCAAGGTGGGAGGACAACTTGAGCCCAGGAGCTCAAGACCAGCCTGGGCAACGTGGTGAGACCCTGCTTCTACAAAAAATTTTAAAAATTAGCCAGGTGTGGGGATGCACAGCTGTAGTCCCAGCTACTTGGGAGGCTGAGGCAGGAGAATCACCTGAGCCCAGGAGTTTGAGGCTGCAGTGAGCCAGGATCGCATCATCGCACTCCAGCCTGGGCAACAGAGTAAGAGACCCTCTGTCACCCCCCACCACCAAAAAAATAAAACACTTGACTCTGTTTTGAAGAGCATCTCCAAGAAAAAAAAAAAAGAGTCTCAGAATGATATGCAAAGAGCCCCAAGAGGGCTGAGGGTTACAAACGAAATGGAAAATTTGTAATTAAGCTTCTCCCCTGACTTATCTCATCACAAATCATTACAGAGTTGGAAATTCTTGGCAGTACAGCCCAGGTACAGCCAACCCAAGTGTGAGTGAGAGGGACTAATGTTTATTCAACATCCACCCCAGGCCTAGCACTAGCATGTTCTCTCTTTTACTCCTCATGACTCCCCCACTACAGCAATTCTCCCCCATTCTGAGGTTCTCTGTACAGCAATTACCCCTTATCTTCAAAGGGAGAAACCTCAAACTTCAGTTGACTTCTCTTTGGGTACCATTAGAATTAGATCTGGATTTTGGGAAAAGGGAAGAAAGCAAGGAAGTTGGGGGAAAGGAGAGGCTTTCCCAAGCTGCCCTGGGAGACAGCAGATGGCAGAGACCAGCACATCACACCCACTGGTCACAGCAAGAAGGCAGAGACAAGACATGTCCGCGTGCTCACTGAATCCCCGGAGTCCACTGTCCTGCTGCCATCTCTCCATGGCAAGGCCAAGGCTGTGCAGCCTCAGGACTGATAAAGCAGGCATTTGAAAAAGGCCTGACAAATCCTTTCAAAGTTGGTAAAATGATATGACCCACGTGGGATATTTAGAAAGATGGTGAAAGTAGCTAGAGATGAGAAACACCGTGTGAGGCACACCATGCAAAATGTGTGCTATCTGCACCCAAGAAAAAGAAACTCATGAGTGACGCTGCGGGGAGGAGTGCCTGAAAAAGTTCCTAACAAACAAGAAATACATAGGGACTGTATGTTTCTTTTTATTCATTTAAAATGTACATTTTCTCATTAACATTTTCTTTGCTCAAGGTTCAGCAGCTATTAGCTGTGTGACTATTACCCCAAAACCCTATAAGGATTGTCTTAATCTATTTTTTTCAAAAGGTCTTTTTTTTTTATTAATTACAAATTGTTCTTTCACAAAGGATTTGTGCAGAGGACACTGTCATGGCTTATTAGACCACTTTAAAGACAGGTAAACACAGGGGTTAAGGCGGTTCATACAGTCCCATCAAAGCCCAGACTCCATGTCAACCTGATCCAAAACAGTGGTCTTTCCACAGTTGCAAGCTCTTTTCTTAAAAGGTTATTTCAATCAGATCACAGTAGCTGAGTGGAGCACATTCACATCATGCCTAATATGAGTGACCTACAGCAGGACTCCATACAGAAACCTCCAGCCCTGTGGGGCATCTATCAGCCCTCTCCAGGGGCTCTGGCTACTCCGAGGGCCTCCCTCCCTCTCGAGTGCTGCCCTGGGACAGGTTGACCAGTGCCACCCAGGGACAAGCTGTGAGATCCCCTACCTCTGGCGCCACTTATTTGTAAGTCCATTCTCTGCCTTCAACAGCTGGGACATTCTCCATACTATCTCAATACTTGGCATCACAACCAGGCTGCAGATGTCTCACTACCTTATTTTAAAAGCAAAAGGACACAGTGTAAATTAAACCTTATCGGAAAGCAACTTGGCTTGGCATCCAACATCAAGAACTAGAAAGCGACTGAAAATCTTTAAGCCAAGAAATCTCACTTCTGTAAATTTATCCCAGTGAACTAACCTAAAATAAGGAATAAATCTTATGCACAAATACTGCAGCATTATTTATAAGAGAAAAAACAGAAGAAACTTAGAACATTCACCAATACAACGTTAATTTCTGTTAACAGCCCCTTCAAAGAATACTATGCGCCCATTAAAATTATAAAGATCACAGAGCCACATGCAAAATGCTTACGTTAAATGAAAAAGCAGGAGACAAAGTTTTATGTACACAATGAAACAACTATATAAAAATCTGTATCCATATGGATTAGCCTGGAATGAAAGGCACTGGAATAAAAATGATTGTGTTAAGAGTGGAGAATGATGAGTGTTGGCTCTCCTTCTCAGACTTTCACATGTTCTTTAATTATCTTCATGAATTGTTGAATAGTTTTAAAAATTTAGCCCAGATATGTTAAAGTTGGAACTTCGACCTTATGCAGTATTTCACATCATTAAGGGATCTTATCTGGCCAGTGGTTCCAAATGCTGCCCAAAGCCACTACAGGAACCTATGGGGCAGGGGACACAAAAGCTGTTTCTAGAAACAGGTGTGAGCTGACCTCTGCTTTTAAGGTTTGGGGTCCAGGCACTACTGTAGAATCTCAGGTAGCCTCCCTTCTCCCTTGGAATTAGAAAGAGGGCTGAGAGGCCAGGCGTGCTGGCTCACACCTGTAATCCCAGCACTTTGGTAGGCCTAGGCAGGTGGATCACAAGGTCAGGAGATCGAGACCATCCTGGCTAGCATGGTGAAACCTCTCTACTAAAACTACAAAAAATTAGCCAGGCGTGGTGGCGGGCGCCTGTAGTCCCAGCTACTCAGGAGGCTGAGGGAGAAGAATCGCTTGAACCTGGGAGGCAGAGGTTACAGTGAGCCGAGATCGCACCACTGGACTCCAGCCTGGGCGACAGAGTGACTCCGTCTAAAAAAAAAAAAAAGAAAAAGGGCCCAGAGACCGTGCTGTCCTGGGCAAGAAAGAGATCACATGATCGGATGCAGTCCGCCAAGCCTGCTGAGAGGCTCATCTCCTCTATGTACATCACTTTCCCTACTGAATCTTTGCTTTCTCCAAGAAACGGGTCAAACACCAAAGTGATCTTGTGCGCTTATCACCGCTGTTAGCAGTAAATGTGTACAGGGAACTCGGGTGCTGACAGTGCATGTACGGGCAATCACACACACAAGGAGAGAAAGCAAAGCACCGGCCTCTACTGGGTACTTCCCCATGGGCCCGACGGCCCTTCTGCCCCCAACCCAGAACATGGAAATAACAGCAACAGTGATGCCACCCTCACAGAACTGGCATTTACCAGGGATTTTCCAAGTGCCAGGCATTGTAGAGGAGCTACACGTGTGCGATTGCAGTTACGTATGTGTTCTTCACAGTATCTTTGAGGTATGGTATTTAATACCCCTTTTATTAAAAAAAAGATGACAAAACTGAGACCCTCCCAAAAAAAACAAAGTCAAGAGCACACAGCTAACAGGCAGTGTATCCAGTGTCACATCAGGCTGTGACTGGCCCAGAGTCCAGGCTCCATCCACCACCCCCGGCCAGTTCTGGGACAGACAGACTGACCCCGTGTCCATGTGGTTGGGAAAGCTAAATCCAATAAGCTCACTGACACCAAGTGACTGGCACAGGCCTGGCCCACAGCAGCCAAGACAGTCAGTGGGGACTGTCCCTCTTTCCTCTTAGCTTCCCTGGTCCAACTTCAGAAAACAGTAATTTTACCAAGATCTACTTTTAAAGGTTGCTTCTCCTTTCCACACACTTCGTCTCATTTGATCCTGATGGGAAAGCTGAAAAGACAGTGAGCTGCTGTGAGCAGCTCGGGCTTCGAAGGCAAATTCAAATTCCTGCTCTGGAGCTCGTAGCAATAGGAACCATGTTTTCTATCCACTGTGATGTGGAGGAATTAAATAAAAGGACATACATGATGATGCTAGCAGTGTCTGACACACAGAAGGCTCTCAACAAAAACTGAGCCCAGAGCCACACAACCGCCTGAGAAGTTACACCACACCTCCCTCATACAGCTGGAAACGCTAAAGCATGAGAGATCGCCGGAGTGACCTCATCCCATGCTCTCTGATGAGCAACAGCACTGGGAACAGTCACTGCTCATCTTTCCACTGCACCTCAGCCCCACGGAGTCCATGGAATTCAGGAGTGGCCAGTGGCCCACAAGATGTGCGCACTCCATGGAACTTGTTCCAAGTGGGGCCTGGATCTCACCTCACTGCACATGAAGGTTGGGGGATTTAACAATTCCTTTGACAAAAGTTTGTTGTTGTTGTTGTTGTTGTTGTTTTAATGCGGAGTTTCAAAGAACATGTTTAGCTGATTCTTATCTTTCTGTAAGCCAAAGATTCACGTGTCCACTGACTTAGAAATGCAGGGGTCAAGGAGAACTTTCCCCATCACCCTCTGAAGGTTCACTGAAAACTCAACTCGAAAAAGTCAGATTAATTAGAGAAAAGGCATACACATTGATTTAATGTGTACACACAGGAGCCATCAGAATGAAGACCCAAAGTTACAGGGGAAATTGTCCATTCTCATGCTTAAGTTCAACACAGTATGGACAGTCATGTGGAAATGTGACTGGACAAAAATGGTAGGTTCCAATGCCAACAGACCGAGTGGGGAAGCCCAGCAAGGCCTGTCCATCTAGATTCTTCTCAGCCTCTCTGAGCAGCATTCCTTCATTCTGGGTTGGGGCAAGACCCTCTCTGGAATGGAGTGGAGGGGTGGGTCTTATGACCTACAGTCAAACAGTTAAGTCACATACTGTTTTTATAAACAGTATTTACATAGCAAGGCAGAGGGAAAGTTAGAGCTGCATTTTCAGGGTTGATGGCTGGCTTTGGGGAAAGCAAGTTCTGGTTCCTAGGACCTGTTTTAGGGAAGAGGGATTCTAGCTTCTATGGAGGGAATCTAGCTTCTAAGGGCAGCCTTGGGGAGAAGGAGACTGGCAGCTGGAGGGCAGGAGAAAGTGAAAAACTTTTGCTTCTGAGGCCTTCATTTTGGGATATTGTTTTCTGAACCCTAAGGGAAACTAGAAAGAACTATATTTAGAATTCTAAAACTTTATAAATTATTCATCCATCTTAGTAGCATCACCCGGAATGCTAAATTCTCAGAGGATGAGAAAGAGTGTATGGAAAATGTGTGGAATATGGTAGGTGATCAGATACAGGAGCTTCATCCTAACACCCTGAAGAACCCGGCATGTGTTGGACCAGATGAATTAAGTGCTGGGAGACTTAAAGGAAGGCTGGTTAGTCTTCAGTGCTTGTGAAAATCTGCAAAGATCACTTGAGTCAAATCTATAAGAATGTGGAAACTCATTCACGTCTATACAAGCTTGTTCAACAGTACTATAATCCTGAATCTTACCAGCAAAACCAATGAACTGGAAGCGCCAAGATTTTTTTTTTAATTTTTACAGAATTTTGCTGGTTAGTCTTACTTTAATAATACCCCATATTATTCCAAAAAGGATTGGGTAGCTTAAAACAAAAGATCTAAATAGAAACACAAAAGAAATGGAACATGGTGGTTGCAGAAATGACCAAGTAAAGATGCTGTGGTCAAGTTGAATTTTTAAACTCTGAACTTCCCAGAGACAGAAGTAAAATAAGTAATAGAAACAAGAATTAAGGTGTAATGAGATCAGTTATGGCCCAGAGACTTCATGTATAGTCTCAATTAACTTCACAACAATCTCAGGAAGGCAAGTATCATCATATCCATTTCACAGATGAAGAAATGGATGTGAGTCACCCGCCAAAGGCACAATGGTCAGAGAGCAAGTCAGAATCTCAATTCAGGCTGGACTTTGAAGCCTGTGCTCCAACCAACCATATGCTCACCATCCAAATAAAGTCATGAGTATCTTAAGAGAGACTGAAATTCAGCTGCTAGATTCCAAAATGTGCCATGAAAAGAATGGATTTTGGGGACTGGACTGCAGTGGATTGGAAGTGGCCATATTTCTTTGCCACGTCTGCACAGACAGCTGGAGTCGGCCTCTGGACTAGGCCATGTGATTTGCTTTGGCCAATTGGATGCCAGCAACCACGAGGCAAGGAGGGGCTTAATACACACCTGCACATTGGACATGCCCTCTTAGAATGCTGCCCTGAGACCACCATGGTGTAAGGAAGCTGGTCTATGCTACTGGGGCATGTGGAGAGTTGAGGAGCCCCAGACAATAGCTAGCAAATACTATAGGACACGTGAGGCCACCTTGGACCAGCCAGCCAACGCTGCTATCACTTGACCACAAGGCACACGTGAGCCCTGGGGAAGTTAGCAAAAGGACCGCCCAGACAGTCACAGGACTGTAAGAAATAATACATCATTCCTGGGTTAGGCCATTCCACTTGGGACAGTTTGCTAGGGATCAAAGGTAACTGAGACATGAATGCAGAGTGAAATAATACAGGAAATCCTCAACAACAACTTCACAATAGATAGGAAGTAGACTGTATATGGCTGTTGCCCATAAAAACACTGGAGACACAACATGAAAGGGCAGTTCAGTCAACAGGACTCTGTATGGAGCAAAATCTAGTACTATCCACAGTTTGTACCAAAAAAAACCCTATTTGGGGTATTATATCCCCTTCTGTAACACAGAAAAAGGGTCTAAGAGAGCCTGCGCATCCACAGGGCTTTTTAAAACAGCTTTTGAGCTTTAAGAGCCATCTCTGATAGAACCAACTTATTCATCTGAAAGTTTCGTGTTTTTTTTTTTAGATGGAGTCTCACTCAGTCACCCAGGCTGGAGTGCAGTGGGACCATGTTGGCTCACCGCAACCTCCATCTCCTGGGTTTAAGCAATTCTCCTGCCTCAGCTTCCTGAGTAGCTGGGATTACAGGCGCCCACTACCACGACCGGCTAATTTTTTTATATTTTTAGTAGAGACGGGGTTTCACCATGTTGGCCAGGGTGGTCTCAAACTCCTGACCTCAGGTGATCCACCTGCCTTGGCCTCCCACATCTGAAAGTTCTTTTGAGTCTTCTGCTAGGAAGAAGAGATGCAGAGATCATTGTATACAGGGAGGCCCTGGCCCTCAGAGATCAGAGGTGAGTGCAAGGCATGGTGTGTGATCCTGGCCACGTCCAACGCCCTTCCTAAGGCTCACTCTCGCCTACAGAATGGGGATAGTGGTCAACAGTCAGCACAAAGGATTTCTGTAGACACCTGGTACAATGCCTGGCCCATCCTACATGTTTGATAACATCAGGGATTGTTATTAGCACTAGTGGAAAATCTTGATACTAACAGTAGAATCATTTCACTATGACAGAGACAATGGGTTGGAGAAGCACTTCATGGAAGGGAGTGAGGAAGGACTATGAGATGATGGTGGTCATCCTGGAGAAGGATAATCGTCTGATCAGTGAGCAGAAACTAAGGACATTGGCCTAGGAGTGGGGAGGAGGGAAGCACCTGGGTGGTGCGGCTGCTGGATTCAGACGACACCCCACAGAGAGGACTCCCCACTCCCCTTGGCAACTCTTGGCAGTCCCAGAAGGCACAGCAGCTGACTCCTCCAGAGTAGGAACAAAGCTCTAGCAAACAGGGATCCAGCCAAAGGCCAGCCAAGCTGGCACTTCCAACAGGTCCACAATGAAACAGCGATTCAAGGAAGAGGAGGGTCATTGCACCCAAAGCCAGCCAGCCTGCAGGTGGGGGGAGGTAGACAAGGTATCTTCTCCCTCAAGCTGACCGACAGGCACTTGGCCTGCATGAGACATGCAGTCTATCACCTTCACCACGTACAGCCTGCCCAGTGGGAACCACAACGGCTCGGGGTGATCTGGCACCCTCAGGTCACTGCACACTTCACGGTTTCCCCCTACCCCATGTAGGCTCAGTGTGGACCTCATGGCCCAAACTTAGAGCAAAGTGACCGTCCCCTCCCCTCTGAGAAAAGTATGACACATCTGATCCTCAACTAACCGGACTTTAGTTTTAAGCCTCTCTTTCAGAATAGGTAGAAATGAAAAGCAGGGATCCAAACAAAGAAACGAAATAATTGGGTGAATTTCTCCGGTTGACCTAGCCTCACACTCAGGGTCTCTTTCTTCTGATCCTTCTAATAAACTCAGGGGAGTGCTGAACACTTTAAGAGAAAAAGCAGTAGAAGGCTTTGCCTTCGTGTGCAAAGATGAGATATCATGGGCATTAAATGTGATTGCGGAGAAAGGAGCAATCATGGACCAAAACCCTGTCAATTCCCAGGTAAATAAAGCCTCACATCAACAGCAAAGGGTGCAGCCAATAGGGCAGGGGTACAGCGTCCTTTCCCACGGCTGGGTAAACTCAAAGGAATGTTTGCGGATTACAGGTTAAAGTGTACGCTTTTTTGAATGCTCTGTTTCAACCACTACTCTCTCTCTCATCCAAAAGCAGTGTCAGCAACCTCACCAGACACATGCCACCTGCCCCTTCACCTACTTCAAACATCTGATGTAAGAATAATAAATTGCTGCAGAGGCCACTGAAATCCAAAGCGGCATGGGGGCTGGGGCACTGCTCAGACACACTAGGTCCAAGGTTCAATCCTCTTTGTTGCCAGCTATTCACGACCTCGTGTGCAAACGAACAAAGCCTTTCAGATGGCATTCATCCAACTCACTTGCAGGCTGATGGTACAAAATCTTTATCTGTGATGGGAGGTGGCGGGGTGGGTAGGGGGTTGCAACATGCAAGAGCTTCCAGAAGGAGAGAAAGGACCTGAAAGGCTGCTGATTTGCAAGCCTGACTTGGTTTACGTGGAGGGAAATGACAGGAACACTTACAAGACACTTTGCCAGAGCCCCAGGCCTTCTGTCCCATGGGGCATCTCCAGTTCCGTGGCCCTGACCAGCTGCTTCCACTCTTGTGGATACCAGGCTCCCTGGAAGAGTCTCAGGTCAAGAGAGGGAGCCCAGGCTAAAAAGATTTTGCAGGTCATAGTTGCTGTGCATAAAGTTTGGCAAAGTGCCTCAGGAGGCCTCCCTCTTACTTCTATGTTTAGCTTTTTTCCAAAATAAAAGTTAATGTTTTCATGCCTTAGTTTCCCCATCTCTGAGAAAAGACAGTGCATATATAATGTAATCAGGTCTAAGCTCCAGTCTCTCCAGAATCCTACAACCAACTGCTGTGTTCAGGCCTTATCTACAGACTAGAGAACTGCACTAGTTCCTGGCTGGAACCTCTGGCCTCATCTCCCCACGCTACTCATCCCTCACACAACACGAAATGCCCCCTTCATCCTGCCCCCCTGCTACCCGGGCCTCCCGAGGGCTCTCTGTGTTCCACCACGCCCCATGCAAACATTTCCCTTTCAATGCCTCTGGAGTCACAGTTCATCCTACCCATTCAACCTGATCTGTGCTCAGTTCTGGCCTGTTCCATGACGGTTCTCCACATACAACAAGATCCTTCTCACTTCCCTGACTTGGCTTATGATTTTTTTTCTCTGCTTTTAAATTAAAAGTATAATTTACATACAGTAAAATTCACTCTTCTTAGTATCCAGATCTGGGAGCTTTGACATCTGCATATAGTCATGCAACCACCACCACAATCAAGATATAGAACAGTGCCACCATCCTCCAAAACTCCCCTGAGTACATTTGTAGTTAACTCTCTTCTCCAGCCCCTGGCAATCCTTGATCTGCTTTCTCTGTAGTTTTGCCTTTTCCAGAATGTCATATGAATAGAAGTATACAGTATGTAGCCTTTGGACCTGGCTTCTTAATGCACATAATGTACAGAGATCCATCCACATTGTGTGAACCGTGCTTGTCTCCTTTCCACTGCAGGAGGTATCCCGCCACATGCTGCATTCCACCATGTACGCAAACCACAGCTTGTTCATCCATTCCCCAGTCGTGGGACAGTTACGTAGTTTCCAGTTTTGGCAAATATGAATAATGCCATTATGAATCCCAAGAGCACATAAATTTCCATTTCCCTTGGATAATATCTAAGGGTGGGATTACTGCGTTGTATGAGAACATGTGTTTAGCTTTATAAGAAACTGCTCAACTATTTTCCAAAGTGGTTGTACCATTTTGCATTCCCACTGGCAAGGGATAAGAGTTCCAGCTGCTCTATGTCCTTGCCAGTACTTGGTGGCATTTTTGCTTTTTTTCCCCCCAAAGCCACTCCCCTAGGTGTATAGTGACATAATGCAGCTTTCTATAAGTTTGCTATAATGGTGCTTACGACACGCCAGGTATCATGCTCAATGGTTCACACACATCTCAATTAATGCTCACTCAATACTACACAGTAAGTTCCAATGTTTTCTCTGCTTTTAAATGCATCTAAACTGAAGTGGCATCTGAACCAAGGTCAAATGACCACAGTACACGAGGCCTTAAATGAGAGCCCTCCTGGGATGGTCTTATTTACTCCTGCAGGGATTCTCCACAATTCTCTCAGGCTCTGACTCAATGTTACCTCTTTCGTGATAGTTTCTCCAAATCAAAACATAATACAGCCCAGTCTGACCTTGCCTCTTACTGCACTTGATCAGCTCTCTAATGATAGAACCAAAGTATTTTCAAAACAGTTGATGTTTCTTATCTCCCAAACAAGACGGCTAGCTTCCTCAGGCCAGAGGATCTGTCTCCCCAACATTTCATCTTCACATTTTAGGGACTGACTGAAATGAATCAGAGTGTGTAGACAGTGTTCTGACATCAAAGGATGAGATGTGCTATTAAAAAAAACCACCACCAACTTGCTTACCATGGCCCCGAGTTCCACATTGCTTTCTAAAGCCACAACCTGCAGGTTACATTCTGCCCCTGCATTAGAAAGTTAAGCAAATTTAACTGCAGAAAATGTGATAGTTTAAGGGCCAAAAAAATAAATTGATCCGTGACAAACGATAATAAAATATCCAGCATCTAGGAAGCATGTTGAAAATGCTGGCAACTTTATGAAGGAATAATCAATTTTAGGAAACGAACGTTGAAGGTAAAGAAACGCAAAAAGGAGTCTCTTGAGTGAACTCACCAATGAATATATCCTACCAAGGACAAGCTGACTTCCCTAGGATGACATTGCAAACCAGTGTGGAAGCCAGAAACAGGCCTAAAATGACACGGTGAACTTCAGCCATGTAACCAGCCCAATATGTACAATGCAAGGAGTTTTCTCCCCAAGATTCAGGATCCAGGTCTTTGCTGTAAAACACACACACACACACACACACACTCTCTCTCTCTTTCTCTCTCTCTCTCTCTCTCTCCCTCGTCTGCTCCCCCATCCCAAAACCGCACCGTCTCCAGACATCAACCCCAGAAGGTCATCACCACCCAGAGGCCAGGTCTACGTGGTATTCCACTTGTATCTAAAATCAATGACTCTCTCTTCTCTTCCCCACCCTAAAAACACAAAAGCTTTACTCTTCTATCACCCACCCACAGACTGAGCCCCATGACCAGGACACAGTCTCTCCCACCCAGACAGAGCCCACCACACAGGCCCTTAGCACTGATCCCATGGTTTTCCTGATCTGACACAATAGTTCCCTCCCCTCTCCATGTGGCAAAATCACTACAGAATTAGTCCTTTTAAAGCAAGGCTTTTGTCCTCCACTCAGAACTCCTGAGTGAACTGGAGGTTGACGCCGAATGTCTTAGCGACCCTCAGAGTGCCCTCACGACCTGGCCCTCAATCTAATCTCTCTCTTCCAGTCAGGATGGGCCATTTGTGATCTTCTGTGGGGTCCTTTGTGCTATGCACTTGGGAGCCCAGTTTTGGGGTTATAATCACTCTTTCTCTTAGAAATGGTCTTCAAATGACAAAAGCTCCAGTCCTCACAAAACCTAGCTCTGCCCATGGGACTGTCCTGGGAGAGTCCTGCCCTGTCCCTCCCAGCCCCAAAGGAGGAGACCCTGTCCTGATTCAGTCATTCCTGATCTGTTTTGGAAGATCCTGAAAGAAGCTAAAATTTCTTTATCTTGACCCTCTCTGAATAAGGCAGTTTTTAAAACAGCTACAGGTTGAATTGTATTCCAATTTTCAGTTCAAGGACAGCCAGCTGAAATGATGACCGGGATTAAGAGATGAGCTATAATTAGGGAGAGGCCGGTCTCTCCCGGAGGTCAGCGGCTGCAGGCAGGGCCCACCTCCGAGCGAAAACCTGCAGGGAGCCCTAGGCAGCCAACGAAGAACAGGGCGGGCAGGAGCCAGCACAAGGGCTCTCACAACCCCATGCAGGCCCCAAACGGTGACTGCCTCAGGACTTCCGCTCCACAGATGTGAGAGAAAGTGACGCTCTCACACAGAAGGGAAACCGAGGACCTGGGAAATACTTCCGCAGAAAACTGCACGCGGAAACGGGGTGGGGGGTGCATGCGGCGCGGGGCAGCCTCATCTGGGAGGACCCTGATGTTTGGAAACCAAAGCCCCAGCCCCAGACCAAGACCCCATCCAGCAAAGACCCTGTGGTCAGAGAAAGTCTTTTTAAGTGCTAGTACGTAAATATTAGAACTGCAAGGGGCCTTGGATGTCATGCCAAATGATAAAACCACAAGTTACCAATGTGATAAGGTGAGTTATAAATAACCTGACAGAGACTACCTGAGTAAGTATGCCAGGGCTGCCATAATAAAGTACTACAAACTGGGAGGCTTCAGGAACAGAAACACACTTTCTCACAGTTCTGGAAGTCTGCGCTCAAGGGGCGACAGGGTTTGTTCCTTCCGAGGGCCATGGGGGAAGATGCTGTTCCAGGCCTCTCTCCTTGGCTTAGAGGTGGTGCCTGTTGTCTATTCTCTTGTCACTGTCTTCCCTCCACGTGTGTCTGGCTCTGTCTGAATCCCCCATTTCATAAGGACACCAGTCATACTAGAGCCCATGCTGACGACCACATTTTAATTTGATTATATCTATAAAGATCTTATCTCCAAATAAAGTGACATTCTGAGGTCCTGGGGGTTAGGGCTTCATTGTCCCATAATACTACCTTCTCTCCCAGAAATTTCTCAGAAGGGGCAGAATAGGCAAATATAAGGGGGTCCAGAGATCTCTCACCTGTGCCGGTTTGGCACATTCCTTCTGACTCAAGATTATTTCTTAAAAATACCAACGGCATCAGCTCTGTACCAACTCGGGGAAAGCCAGAGCAGAGGGTGATGAGCTAAAGGGCCGGGGTTTCTTTTCTAGTAAGAATGTGGCCCACGTGGAGAAAAACTTATCCACTGTGGACGAAGGGCCTATGTCTCCACTGCAAGTGCAGGGTGGACGGCAGCTTGACTTCTGACAAGACTGAATGGTGAAATATTGAAAATGTACAAAATCCACATCCCCGTTGCACAATGGCAATATGCTCTTGGCCTCACAGCTCACCAGACACTGATTATGCAAGCTCTTTTCAAAAAGCACTGAGGCCCCAAGAAGCTAATCTGACAGAGACTTATTATTCTCCAAACAATGGGTGAAAAGAGAAACCATTTCTGAGTCTTTATAAGGTAGACACCCACGCAGACAGACCCACACGATAAATCTGCATGAGAGTTTGTAAGAGGCACTGGGCACCAGTAGCTTTTTTGTTGTTGTTTTGTTTTTACCAGTAGCTTTTATGAACATATCAGTTCCACCAGACCCCTCCACAGAGTGAATGGTGAGTGCCACCAACCAGGGGCCCCCGAGGCCACGCCAGGAGGCCCAGGAGTGGGAACAAAGGCTGTAATCCATCTCCAAGAGCGGAGTGGCCTCGGCCAGACAGACTGAGCTCACTGTGTCTGACAAAAGAAACTTTTCACAACTGAGACCTCTGGGTTGGAATCATGAAAAGAACTCAGGGGCGTGGGGCTGGAAGGGTACTTAGGGGCCTGATGATTGGTGAATCTGGAAGGCGTCCTCAGATGTTCTCGATGAATTAATTCCCCAGCCCTTTCAAAAAACACCACCAAGGCCACTGTAATGCTTGCTTCTACACAGAAAGCATTATGGGTGTTTTTTCTTTTTCTCTAATACATGAAAATGTGCTTACTGTGATTAAAAATAAAACTAAAAACGCAAAGAGACCCTTAAAATGTTGAAGGCTGACCCCCCATCAATGACTGTTTAAGTGTGTAGGTGTCCAGTCTGACTACAGAAACACTCCCGCATGTAAGGAGAAAAGAACCGATCATTAGCAGACATCTGAGTTTGTCTCAGGCATGGCAATGGGCCTATTCATTTTCATTCTCTCATTTAATTTTATCTCATTTAAATGTATTCAGGCCAGGGGCAGTGGCTCAGGCCTATAGTCTCAGCTACTCCACAGACTGAGATAAGAAGATCGCTTGAGCACAAGAGTTTGAGATTACAGTGAGCCATGATCACGCCACTGCACTCCAGCCTGGACAACACGGTAAGACCTCATCTCTAAAAATAAAAATAATAAATAAAATGTAAATAAGTATTCAGAAGGACTGAACGCAGTTTAGCCAAGTCACCAAGTATTGATTATGCTTCACTCACAGTGGACAAACACACTGAAGGCACAGAAAGATGGAGTGATTTTCCCTAAACCACAGCCAGAGAGAAGGCCATAGATACAGGCAGCAGGGCAAGAAGCTAAAGCCTGAGGAAGCAAAGGAAGTCCAAGAAAGGTGAGCAAATGAACATCACGTTAGAGCCAAGGACAGGGCTGGCGCAGATGGTCACTGCCTCACAATGACAAGCGGTTCAAAGAGGAAGCTACCTGAGAGTGGACGCAGGCTGAGGAGTGTCCCACTCACACAAAACACGAGTCTGTGTAGGAGAAGGATTATCTAGTTCTCTCATAGCTTCTTCTTATTTCCCTCCTGGCTATGCACTATCCTAGCAGCTTTCAAACTTTTTTGCCAAAACCCATAGTAACAAATAAATTTGATGTAGACATCCATCCCCCAAACCATGTATTTAAATATATACGTTATATAAATACATGCACGCCCATCCATCCACATACGGTGTCATAAAAGGGTACCTACTCTTACATGTATGATGTGCTCCAGTATTTTCTATTTAATTATTCATCATGAATACTGATGTTATTCTCCTCTATTAGTTTCATGATCTACTGAGTCACAACTTACAATTTGAAAAACCTTGCCCTCATCTTTGAAAGAGTCAGGTTCGAGATTCTAGCCAAGTGTCGGATGCGCTTACAGGCCATGGTTCCAAGCCCGACTGGGGATTCAAAGAAGTAAAAGGGAACCCATCAGCCTGAGCCCCCTGAGAGCTTTACTTTTGTCAGAGGCATGTGAGCCAAAGCAACTCCATCTTGAATAGGAGTTGGGTAAAATGAGGCTAAAACCTACTGGGCTGCATTCCCAGACAGTTAAGGCATTCTAAGTCACAGGATGAGATAGGAGATCGGCACAAAATAAGGTCATAAAGACCTTGCTGATAAGACAGGCTACAGTAAAGGAGCCGGCCAAAACCCACCAAAACCAAGATGGCCACAGGAATGACCTCTGGTCGTCCTCACTGCTACACTTCCACCAGCACCATGATAATTCACAAATGCCATGGCAATGTCAGGAAGTTACCCTATATGGTCTAAAAAGGAGAGGCATGAATAATCCACCCCTTGTTTAGCATATCATCAAGAAATAGCCATAGAAATGGGCGACCAGCAGCTCTCGAGGCTGCTCTGTCTATGGAACAGCCATTCTTTTATTCCTTTACTTTTGTAATAAACTTTTCACTTTGCACTACGGACTTGCTCTGAATTCTTTCTTGAGCGAGATCCAAGAACCCTCTCTTGGGGTCTGGATCGGGACCCCTTTCCTGTAACACTGGTTCATCTGTAGTTGAAGCCATCAATGAACTGAGGAGCTCTGCTTTCCTTCCTTAGCTTACGTGGTGGGCACAGGGACATGTGGGGAGATCCTACAGAAGAAGGCACTGCTGTAGAGAGAATCAGAAATTCTCCTCCCAGGGCTATCTTGGGGAGGCCGGGTAGTCAGAAAATCATTGCTTCTTCAGGAAACAGCACTGTTTACAAAACAACTAGACCATGCATTACTTCGAGGGCATCATCCTGTGCCCCAAAGCCACCTTACATATCTGGCTTGGCCATCATCCTGAGCTTCCTGGAGGCACTACGTGGACAATCCGACCCTCATCTTCTACCATCACCCTGTCACGGGTGTGCAGCGCTGTGCTGCGATGTCAACGGTGGTCAGAGCAAGTGACACAACAGTGCGTTCTACTGGGACACTTCTCCAGGGGCCTTCCCTCCAGGAGGACATCCCGGAGGTCCAGAAAGCTGCAGGGGAATGGAGGGAAAAGACAACGGTGGCCACGGTGATCGTCAACTGTAATCATTATGTTGGCAAAG
The DNA here is from genome assembly GCF_000001405.40 of Homo sapiens. Classification (NCBI taxonomy): domain Eukaryota; kingdom Metazoa; phylum Chordata; class Mammalia; order Primates; family Hominidae; genus Homo; species Homo sapiens. The sequence continues at coordinate 230,151,137 of NC_000001.11, read as the reverse complement.
CTATAAAATCAAACCCAGGACACCACACAAGATCCTGAACATATTTCCACAAGAGGAAGAATATTGTGCTCCAGGCAACCCAGGTAGTGCACCTTAAATAGGAAAGAGTTCAACAAGTCACACAAAGTTACAGACACCTGCATGCCGGGTGCACCAGCCTCGTCCTGAGGAGTTGAGAATGGTGGCCCTGGCTGGGAATTCTCTAAGTTGCTCTGCCACTGGGAAAATAGATTCCTTAGGGAAGCAAAGAAAACGATGGATTCCTTTGTGCTCAGAAGACAGCAGGCTTCCATCCAGAAAACTGCACAGTCAGGGCCAAGCAGTCAAAGCCCCCATTCTGAACGCCAAATCCCTGGGTGGGAAAAGGAGTGTGTGTCTGTGCCTCCCGCCATCCTAGAAGGCCAAGGAGAGGCTGAATGTCGCAGCGCATTCTCTAATGAGGAGCCAGGCACTCCAACTGCTCCACAAAGGTGTCTTAGACAGAATTATAAGTAGAGCTTAAGGTCTAAAAACAAACAAACAAAACAAAAATGCTCTACCAAAGAGATGAGACTTTCCTTTCAGAATCAAGTCACACATCCCTCCCCAATTTCCAACTCCAACTCTAACAGAGACATTCACTTCTCTGCAAAGGTTGCGGACAAAAACAAAGCGGGCAGAAAGAGGAAGTGGAAGGAGTTGTTGTACTATGTCTTTTTAAAGCAGCTGTTGGAAACCGTTTCAAAGGTTGAAAAAGGATTTTTGTTTTATCCAAATATAAGTTTCTGAGAAGAAATATGACACCTTGGGTGATGTATGAAGTCATGCCTTTGATTCCAAGCCTGTCAAGCCTCTTCTGAGTGTTACATCTCAGGCTTCCTATGGTGAGGTAAAGAGGGAAGCTTCGGTACAGAAAAACGGCAGCACACGGAGGTAGGCAGCTTTGCAGTCACCAAGCAGGCGATGGCTCTCCTGGCCCCAGGGCGGAGCCAGTGCATGTCTTTTAAGCCACTCATGGGCTCCGCATCCAGGAATGGAGAGCACCCTCCTAGGTCTCTGCCTCAGCAGCCCCACAAGCCCACCCAGCCATCCTCACCCTGGGGTCCATCATACTGTGTGGCTGTCAACCTCTATTATGGTATAATTAAGAAAGACACCAACGGTGTTGAGAAGCGTTTCTGAGAATTAAATCAAGAGTGAGAAGCCCTCAGAGGCACCCCATGTGTCAAGATCAATTGATCTGATGGCCACCGGAGAAGCCCTGCTGAAACAATTCGGCAAATCTGCCCAGAGACGGCTCTGCCAGTCTCTGGAGACAGAACTCTTAAAGAGGCAGGAAAGACCAGAGGGAGGTTTTGCAGTTATTCACGCCATGCTATTCTAAAAGTGAGGAGGGCTTGGCTGTAATTTCCCACTCTGGACATTGAATGATTCAATGTATCTGTTTATATTTACATGGCTGAGGCATAAAACAACAAAACAAAAAGCCCACTCCCACCTCATTAAGCCCACCTAGGTAACACTGTGGCAGGACGCACACAAACCAATCAGGCGGTTTTTAAAAACCCTCAAAATCTAAGGTCCCTCAACCGCTTGTTGCACTCAATACATGCCCCTGTCTACAGTGGCTCATCCTAGAATCACTACTACAGAGAAGGACTATGTTTAGGCAGAAATCTTGCTGCCCTCAACGCCAGACCTAAGAATCACTGCAATAATAGGATGCTCAAACCACCAAGCTATTGGCAGCCTGTAAGAGAAACACCCTATAAAACAGCAAGCAGGCAGCAACCATCACCCACCCTCCAGGGATGTTCCTGAACCCAGTGCTCAACCACACAAGTCCAATCTAGGTGGCCTCGCAATGTCCTCCCACCCGCTCCAGGAGAGACAAGGTCAAGACCATAAAATGACTTCAGGAGCCATAAAAGCAGAAGCAGCACCTTCTGAAATCAAGCAATCAAGAATTAAACAAGTAGGCTAGGCTCAGTGGCTCACGCCTGTAATCTCAGCACTTTGGGAGGCTGAGGCAGGTGGACTGCCTGAGCCCAGGAGTTCGAGACCAGCCTGGGCAATATGGAGAAACGCCGTCTCTACAAAAAATGCAAAAATTAGCTGGGCGTGGTGGTACGTGCCTGTGGTCCCAGCTAGTCAGATGGCTGAGGCAGGAGAATCATTTGAGCCCAGGAGGTCAAGGCTGCAATGAGCTGTGATCACTCCAGCCTGGGTGACAGGGCGAGGCCCTGTTTAAAAAAAAGGTGGGGAGGAGTGGGGCTGGGTATGGTGGCTTATGCCTGTAATCCCAACACTTTGGGAGGGTGAGGTGGGTGGATCTCTTGGGCCCAGGAGTTTGAGACCAGCCTGGGCAATAGAGCGAAACCCTGTCTCTACTAAAAATACAAAAATTAGCTGGGCATAGTGGTGCACACCTGTAGTCCCAGCTACTCGGAAGGCTGAGGTGGGAGGATCACCTGAGCCCAGGGACATCAAGGCTGCAGTGAGCTGTGATCACACCACTGCACTCCAGCCTGGGCAACAAACCTTGTCTCAAAAACAAAAATAGAAAGAAAGAAAAAAAAAGAAAACAAAACCCCTTGAAAAGGCTGACCCACACCCTGGAGTTAACTCCGGAAGGCGAGTGAGGGACCGCTAGAAGCAAGGCGTGGAGCCGCCTCTGCAGCAAGGACAGAGAGCACTTGTGTTAAACGAGGGCTTTCCAGGGCTGTGGGACCTGTTGGATGCACCCAGGTTACCTGTGACTTGCAGATTTAGAAAAGGAGTCCACAGTGAGGAAGGGACTGTGCTGAACTACTCCAGCCCTGAAAACGCCCCCTTTCCCTATCAGGTTTCTGGCTTCAGCTCTAGGAGGAAAATAACGCAGTGCCACAGGGCTCTCCCTCTGAGTGCACTGTGCACGCCCCGAGCTGGCCACTGATCTGGTTGTGCCGGTGGGCAGCCCTTCACCTAAAGTCCACCTCGTGGCTCTCAGCCACGCAGCGCCACTGTCTTTTCAGATTTGAAGCTTTAAAGCGGGATGGGGAAGAGTGTGGGCAAGTGGGAGGCATGTGTCCAGTGGGGCTGGACACACACACAGGTATGTAAGAGGGCTGCACCTGTATGTAATAATACAGTGACTATCCTCGAGGTTGCTGAGTGATCATAGTTTAGGAAACTAACTAAACAGGGACAGTGTCTGGGGACAGAGCGTTTGCCCTGAAGGTGTGGACGTGTGCTAGGAGCATCTACCACTGCCAACCTCCAACAAGCAATCATGCTTAGAAATAGCAGCTAAAGACGAGCTCTCTTCATGAAGCCTGCAATGCCTTCCAGGCTGGGAGCCAGAGGTGACCCACAGGCAGAGCTGAGGCCCTCACTCAGGAGACAGAAGCTCTCCTTCAACGGGAAGAGGGCAACAGGGCAGGAAGGAGGGACTCTTGGAGGAGGAAGGCAGCTTCTCTCAACAGTGACTGTTTAGCCTCAACCACTGCAGGGGAATGTGGCCACACCACTAGCCAGCCACTGTTCGCAGAATCGAAGAGTAGGCCAGGAGTGGCCCTGGCCTGAGATTATTTTACAACAGAGAAGAAAAGAAAAGCCCCCGCGGGACCAGGAAAGGAGAACCAGTGGCCAAGCCAGGCACACGGCAGAGCAGGCCATGCTTTCAAGGGAGAGGCGACACCAGTCTCAGCCCACAGCAGTCCCGTGGCAGGGGCTCTAGGAATGTTGGCCAAGAGTCAAGGACAGCAAAGTGAATATAGGCAAACCCACACCTTAACCCCAAAGTAGGCGGCTTTCAGCTAGAAGGTTTGAACACAATGAATGTTGAATAAAATGAAGTCTTTATAATTCACGGTCGATCTTGGAAACTAGAAAATGCCAGAGGAAAGGGTTTCAGTTCATCAGTCCAGGGACAACATCTTGGAAGGAACACAAAGGTAATTCCTCCAAATTGAGGATGCTGTCAAATCAGAGAGCATTCTTTTGAGAATCATGGTCTGAAATCTCCCCCAGCTTGGCACTGCCCACCCCTCATCCCCAACATCTCACCAGCTGGCCAGATATGCAGACACTGCCTCCTGTTTCTCTAACTCTGGCCCCTCCTTCCCAATTCACCCTGCCACAGCTGAAGGCCTGCTTCCCTTCTCACCTGGGCTCTAGTGGCCCACCTGCCTCCTGTCTGTCCCCTGCCACGACTCCCACACAGTGCGGCCAGCGGGACAGACACCGAGATCTGACAGTGCAGGCGGTAGCCAGCTCTGGACTGCAGCATACAGGACCCTGCGTGGTTCTTACCTAACCTCCTCACAGGTCACGTTTCCAGCATAACGCCTCCCCGCCAACACGTGGGGCCGCTCTGAGGTGCGTGCAGCCCCTGGCATGCCATTTCACTTACATGCACGACACCCACCCTATGCCCTCTCTCCTTCCCACCCCTCCCCCTGCAACCTGGGCCATCCCTCCAGGTTAGTCCCAATGCCGTTTCATTAATGCATCTTACTATACTAATTTGTTTCCTTTTCCTAAATGCCCCAGCTCCCTGAGAGCCGAGTTTGCTCCTTTCTCATCTAATACTGAGTGTGCAGTGTATGGTTGGTATAAGGTGGCTGAGTTGTAAATGAACACAGGAGTGCTTCCCAAGCAGGCTTTTCTGAGCCCACACCTGCTTCACTCCAACCGGGTCAGGAAGGGAGGCAGGCAGTGGCCTCCGATCAACACCTCCAGAGGAAATGAAAATACTGTCCATATTAAGGAAATAACCAGAAATGTGATTTAGCTATTAACAAAAAAACAAAACTGAAAGAGGAAGAGGGGTGACCAGGCACACATAAGACATGAATAGCTGCGAACAAGTTCTCAGACCTGGTGCGGGAGAGAAGGCGCGGGACTCCTCCCAAAGCTTCCTCCTCCAGGGCTCCCTAACGAGATACATGAAAAGGGAGGGGAAAAATAACTACAGTCTTTTAGCTTATCAATTTCTCACATCCAACTCCAAACAGCAGAAATACAAAGACTGTCTTTTTCACTCCTAACCCAGGAGGAAGAAGGAAAAGTGCTTATTTTTAGCCAAGCCAAAAAACATAAGCAGCTACAGATTAATAAGAAGCAGAGAGAAAAAAGAACCCTCACAAGAAAGCAGAACCTCAAGGAACACCAGAAGCAGGTCCACTACAGCCCAAAGCAGCCTGGACAAGGAGTGGACCAACGTCTTCTCTCTTAATCACAGGATAATAAAAATGCAAGCGGCGAGCATCTTTGAAAGGCACACTTCCCAGAGGGGCTGGGCAGGCAGGCAAGCAAGCCGAAATGCTACCTCTCATTTCTTTACAATTAAGTAATTACAGGGACCTTGTTTCAAACATGGTATTTCCAAGTCCAGATGGAACCACTGCCACCAAGAAGACAGGTGACGTTCTGGGCCTGCCTGACGTCTGGGCTTGCCTGACGTCCTGCTGTGCTGCATCAGGCACCACACGGGGCAAGGCCCCCATTGGCACTATGCCAAGGTGGGTGGCTTTCAACCAACTAGCTGTGGATAAGAATCTCAAAAGGCAAAAGAAAACCGTGTAAATGTCTAAGCCCCGACCTCAGCGGAGGAATCCCCAGAGAACCACCAAGTTGGCTGCATTCTCTAAAAGTCTGTATTTATTACAACCATCCCTACAGTATGTGATAACAACAAAAACAGAGGGAAATGGGGGACTGGCTTCAAACACCAGACACCTAAAAGGGTTCCTTTGGGGGAGCTTCCCTTGGGGGAAGACAGGATTTCCAGGACAAACCCCCTCAGAAGGCCCAGGCCCGACTGCCAGAGTCTGAGGCCTGGCCAGGAAACCCCACAAACTTAGGGGTCAGGGGAGCTGACAGTGCAGATTTCTGAGACGCTCACTGAGAAATTCAGATTCGGCCAGTCTGCACTGGAACCTGCCTGCTAACAAGCAACACAGGGGGCGATCTGAGAATGGGGTTGGGGAGGGGGTGCCAAGGACAGTCTTGGTACTGAGGCAGGAGGGGCCCACAGGCACATGGGTCGCTCTAAGTGTAACGGGATGAGTGAGAGCCTGCAGATGCTGCAGCAGAAAACAGATGACGCAGCTCTGGAGTGGCCATCGGGAGACCCTTGGGATGCTCCGCCGGGCCTCTCACCTTGCTTGGTTTGTAGGTTACCAAGCAAGAGAGGAGCCTGACATCACTACACATCTCACCTCAAGGCCTGCGGGGAGATCACTGAAGGCTGCCAAAGATAAACTCATCCTTCCCACAAGAAGCTTAGAAGCCACTGTATCAGCAACACCATAACCTCTGCCCCAAATCAACCACCTACTCCCAGGCTTTTTAATACTTTATAGTTGCTCTTCAAATCCCTTAGTCTTTAATTAATCCTCACCCCACATAAGAACACTGGCACAAGGTTAGTGGTACTTACTTTGAAGTAAGCATCACAAGAAGAAAAATAACATCCGAGATTTGCTTTAAAACACACCACTACCACCCCTAACTCCCCACCACACACACACAGGCATAAACAGGAAAAGACAAAATAAGCATGGCGAAATCCTGGTGGGTGCTTGGTACCTAAGAGTATACAGCGTCTATTGTTGCAGATGTTGGCACAATAAAACTTTCTTAAGGAAAAAATACTGAAGTCGACATAATTATTACAACCATAATCCTACTTCCAGTAGCGAGGAACACAAACCGCCCTTCACATGCAGGCACCGGCTACTCTGAGCTTTTATCATTTGGTGCTGCGGGTGACGCTGGCTCTGTGATCCTCTGGTTATAGAGAAGCCGAGTGTAGTAGTCTTTCTTGGTTTCAGGCACAAAACAGGACAAATGTTCTGGATACTAACTACTGTCTCCATGTAATTATTAACATTTCCCCTTTCATTCTCAAAAGCACTCAGGTCTGGACACTAAATAGCATGGTCACTCTAGATACAGGGAGAGGGTTGTGAAATAACAGTGTCAACTCTTTGACATGTGGCCCAGAAGGCAGCACGGAGACGTCTCCTACCCCAACCTGCTCTGCCTCCCGATCCAGGTGTGGCCAGGAGGATCTGCATCAAGCCACCTCCCACGACACAGCTGTCAAGCACTCGCAGGTGCTGCTTTTGTAAGTGGAATATGTTCTGGCAAATATAGGAGGTATCGTTCTGAATGTCCTAAGATGTGTCACCTCCATTTAAAAGAGTGCTATTTTGAAAGTGATTAGAATTTAAAAGTTAGCAATTAAAGCCTAATTACAAAGAAAATTCTTGATATCTGACAAACAGCCAAATAACAGGAGGGACCATCATCAGGACAAACAAGATGAGCTGGTGATCGCTGAGCAGGGCGACAGTTAAATTCTGCCTGTCACAGCTGGGGGCATCTGGTTGGCGCATCAATGTCACCCACGTGCGTGTGGCAGATAAAGACAAGCACAATACCCTTTCAGTTATCAGAGCAGCAACAGAGGCCTGGAAGAACTCAATGCTTTAATAAGAGCGTGGGGCTGACACTTTCCCATGTGAAAAGCAACATGCTGCGTAAAGCCAAGAAAAAACCAAGGAAGTGTTCAGGCCGACAGACGACCTCTTTCTCCTTGGCCCCTACTGCACCTGCCATGCCTCTTTACAGGTCAGCAGCAGCATCCACAAGAACTTCAGCAGGACCACCCCGCAGTTCTGCATGGGACTTCAGGACCCCATGAAGGATGGGCAGCGGTGCTGTGTGACTGTGGAACCTGCACACACCACACCTTGTTGCTGCTTCTGCTCTTCTGCTCTCGAATGTCTCCAGTTCTGCATTTCATTCCTAGCAGCTGCTGCAAACAACTGGACATCTCTTACCAAAAACTAACTACACCTTCCAGAGAAGCTCTCAGGCTGCGGATTCCCCTGATTTTTCACACGCAGAAACTGAAAGCCAGAGAGAGTGAGGACCCTGCCCAAAGCCCAGATGCTCACAGGGAATGGGGCTGACAGTGCCCAGTACCCCAATTCCCAGAATCCACTGCAAGGGAAGGACTAGGAGGTTCAGTCTCTGGACTCAGGCTCCAGGAGTACCAGAAGCCTAGAGGAGCCAGCACCATTCTCTTCACCAGCTGCTCAGACATGGACTTGGGCAGCTCTCCAGCCCACTCCCCTAAAAACAGTTTGAACCAGGGATGGGCCCAGCCTGCAGGCTGCTGCTCTGAAGAGCAGCCACAGGAAGGAAATGGCTCTCCTGGAATTGCTGGCCCCCAGGACCCAGGAGAGCTCAAACCTTCTCCCAGGGTACGGGCCAATTCTCACATAGAGAGCATCTGGCTTTAAATGAACAGAAGGAGGATAATTTATAAGCAAGTGTTCAGAAAAACCCAGCCTTCCCACGCAGGCCCCACAGTAAGACAGAGGACAAGAAGTAGCTGACCAGCAAGTATGCAGACAGCATTCAGCAAATGAGCATGCGAACTTAGGTGAACAGAGCAGGCAACGACCAGCTTAGGAAAGTTACACTTTAGACTTCCAGACTCACCAAAGCACAGGCGTATTTTTACCCATAATGTTCTAGACACTTAAATGGTGCTTACTATGCACGTACTAGGTATATTTAATTATATTAACCCAGGTCACCCTCAGAAGAGCCCTAGGAGGTAGGTACTACTTTTTTCCCCATTTTACAAAGGAGGAAACAGAGGCACACAGAGGTTAAGTTACTTGCCCCAGATCAAGAGTGATCAGCTGGCGGGGCTGGATATAAGCCCGGGCCCTTAACGACTTCACCATACAGCCTCTGAGCATGGGGGGCACAGTGAGTCCCCCTACACAGACTACTTGGTCAGTGCCACTCTAAGAGCCACCTGGAGTTCTCGCAGACCCTGTGTGGCCCAAGTGCGGAAGAATGCTGATGTGGAAAGAAGTGGCCGGGTGGATGGAGGCCATCCCTTATGCTTCCTGTGGCCTGGTGGACGGATGCCATCCCTCATGCTTCCTGGCTGGGATGCCACCGTTCTCCTTCCCCACCCTCCCCCCACCTCCACAGGAGGTCCTAATCCCAAAATGCAGCCCAGCCTTTTATTAAGCAGTGTGGTGGCAAGGTCTCGGCCAGGGGTGGTAGCTCAAACCTGTAATCCCAGCACTTTGGGAGGCCAAGGCAGGAAGATCACTTGAGGCCAGGAGTTCAAGACCAGCCTGGGCAACACAGTGAGGCTCTCGTCTCTAACAAAAAAACAAACAAAAAATTTGCCTGGCATGGTGGTAAGCACTTGTCATCCTAGCTACTTGGGAGGCAGAGGCGGGAAAATAAGCCCAGGCGTTTGATGCTGCAGTGAGATATGATTGTGGCACGCACTTCAGCCTGGACAATAGAGCGAGACCCTGTCTCAAAAAAAAAAAAAAAAAAAAAAGGAAAACAAAAGAAAGCGGGGTCTTGAAGAGATATCTGTATACCCATATTTCACAGCAGCACTATTCACAATAGCCATAAGGACCCACGTGTCCATCAATGGGTGACTAGATCAACAAAATGTGGCCTAACCATAAAATGGAATATTCAGCCCTAAATAGGGAGAAAACTCTGACGCGCGCTACAACATGGATGAACCCTGAGGACATTATGCTAAGTGAAATAAGCCAGTCACAAAAGGATAAATACTGGATGATTCCACTAACATGAGGGACCTAGAGGAGTCAAATTCATGAAGACAGAAAGTAGAATGGTGGTTGCCAGGGGGAGGGGAGGGGAGAAGGGAGTCAGTGTTTAATGAGACAGAGTTTCAGTTTTGCAAGATGAAAGAGTTCTGTGGATGCGTGAGGATACTGAGCTGTAAATTTAAGGATGGTTAAGACAGCAAATTTTATGATGTATGTATTTTACCAACTTTTAAGGATTAAAAACAAAGTAAGGAACCCAGCCCGGGTCTGGAGCCAGAGCCTGTACGAGTCCCTTCTGCGCAGTGTTAAGATGGGCAGGATCTCTCCTTTCAGCTGTAATATTAAGACTCCAGGACACACTGTCAACAAATGTTGCCAACAAAATAAATCAGTTCCTACTAATCTCCTGTGGGGTGATCCAATTCACATTCACTCACATTCCCCTTGAAGAAACAGAATGTCTTTAAGCATGGTTACCTACAGATCTATGCATTCTTGTTTCGTTTGTCATTTGTTTCAAAATAGACACACATTTGCAACGAATGCTGGAATTTTTCAATGATGACACAAAAGCAGAGAAAATAAGAATATAGCTATTTCAGAACTAGAAAGGATACGTATCTTCCCTTCCACACTATCACTTGGTAATGGAAAAGAGGTCCTCTGAATACACTGAAATACTGTACAGCTGGGTTGTATAATGGCATATACTACTGGGAGTCACATTATTTTGTGTTTTGCTACATGATTTAGACAATTCATTTACTACTGAGTTATGCACAAGCTTTTCCCTGAGGAAAAGGGGAAGGGAGGGGTGAGGAGAAAGGTTCGAATGATCTCTAAACACTTGACACAGACAGAACTCATTGTGGGAGGGGAGAAGATAAAACCATAATACACGTTTGCAGAGAAGCCTCCAGCTGTGGCAGCGCGTCACTCCAGGAAGCACAGGCTGGAGGAAGGGGGAAGTTTCCCGAGCACCACTGACAGTACTCCCGGTTCCGAGGCTGGATTTCTATAGCAACGGACAGCAGCTTCACGGGAAGTCACGCTCCACTGTGCTCCCATCCCCTCAGTAGGACAGGGACCACTCTCTGTCACCTAGGCACTGCTGTCCAGGGGCTGGGGCACTGGGAAGGGCAGGGACTTGGCCCAGGGCAGTGGAGCCAGGCAGTGGCAGGGGTAGGAATCCAACTCCAGGCCTTGGCCAAACCTACCAGCCACACTACTGTCTGTGTACACACTACTGGCAGGGACTGTTGCCTGGTTAACCATCACCTGTCTCCAAACATGAAGCACAGGCTGGCAGAGGTGAGCCATCCCCTAAACCCAAGCCTTGGGATTCATTCCTCCTCTCAGGCAGAGGTGAGCTGGCCATTAAAAAGCCGACCCCCAAGGGGAAGAAAGGGGTGTCCAAGAAGCAGACAGAAGCCCCGTGGGGGAGGGCGCACTCAGCAGACAGTTCCAGTACAGCTGACGCAGGGACCCGGCAGCCTGGACCAGGCACAGCCTCTCTGGGCCTGGGGTGGTCGCAGGATGTCTGAGGAAGGCTGGGCTGATTCATCTTTATGGTCCCTTCCTCCCAGGGCTACGCAATTCTGTGAGTCTGTGGATGTACAACCTGAATGACCAGCCCACAGGACAATTAAAGGTTCCCAGGAGCTGAAAGAACTTCATTCCAAGTAGATTATTTCCGCAACAGCCCAAAGCAAAACAACTCTCCATAAACCTGAGTAATCTTCATAGGTGGGAACGAAACTGGATTTCCTTTAATACACCAGTTCATCCTTCCTTACCCCTTAGTCCATGCAACGGCAAATTATTACGCTCGCAGTGCTTTGCTTGTATTTTCCTTGGAATTTTACCAAAAAACAAAAAATCCCTTACTATTCTACTGCTCTTTCCATTGGTGGCCATTTTCTTACAATTCTAGCTGTTGTCAGTGGAACAGGTGCTGGTTCTGGACTGCCTGATAGGCTTACAGTGGCTCCCCTCCAGGCCCAGTGCCAGCAGCCCTGCTGCAGAATAACCGTCCTCCCTTCATGGGGCAGGAGGAGTGAGGCGTTGCTGAAGGCAGAGGCTGAGACCCTGAACTCCAGGCTGCACTGTGCTGTCTTAGCCTAGAAGAGGGGTCTTGGTGTGTCCCATGCAGCTTGGAAGTTGTGGCAGGGAACCGAGAGGGATAAACTTCTCATCAGAAGGGACACATGTGGCCAGGAAGGAGCACTTGGCTTCAACGATAACATCGGGATTCTTCAGATTTAGCAAGAGGACCCTGATTGTTCTCATCTAAATGTCTTCATTTAAATATAAATCTCTGAAATGGGGATTATTAGATACCTTTCAAACAGTAAGGTGAGGGGACCAAAGCCGGGTAAAGTGGCTGTCAATGGTCAACAGGAAGTAGCAGCTAGAAAAAGCCAGAAGCTCTTGTTGGTCTCCTCACACCATAACCCCCGTGAGGGTAGACACTGAGTGCTCATGTCAGATGTGTTTGAACCAGAGTGACTCCATCTTGAATAGGGTAAAATGAGGCTGAGACCTACTGGCTGCATTCCCAGGAGGTTAGGCGTTCTCAGTCACAGGATAAGACAAGAGGTCAGCATGAGATACAGGTCATAAAGAACCCACTGATAAACAAAACAGGATGCAGTGAAGAAGCTGCCAAAACCCACCAAAACCAAGATGGCTACAAAAGCCACACCTGGTCATCCTCACTGCTCATTATATGCTAATTATAACACAATAGCTAAAAGACGCTCCCATCAGTGCCATGACAGTTTACAAATGCCATGGCAACGTCAAGAAGTTACCGTAGATGGTCTAAAAGAGGGAGGAACCTTCAGTTCCAGGAAAATCCCTGCCCCTTTCCCACGAAACTCATAAAAAGCCCACCTCTTATTTAGCATATGATCAAGAAATAACCATAAGTATACTCAGTCAAGCTGCCCATGCCACTGCTCTGCCTATGGAGTGGCCATTCTTTCTTCTGTTTCATTTTTTTTTTTTTTTTTTTTGAGACAGAGTCTCGCTGCATCGCCCAGGCTGGGGTGCAGAGGCGTGATCTCAGCTCACTGCAACCTCCACCTCCTGGGTTCAAGCGATTCTCCTGCCTCAGCCTCCCAAGTAGCTGGGATTACAGGCACGCACCACCATGCCTGGCTAATTTTTGTGTTTTTAGTAGAGATGGGGTTTCACCATGTTGACCAGGCTGGTCTCTTACTCCTGACCTCAGGTGATCCGCCCATCTTGGCCTCCCAAGGTGCTGGGAATACAGGCGCTCTGAGCCACCATGCCTGGCCCTGTTTATTTTCTTAATAAACTCGCTTTCACTTTACTCCATGGACTCACCCTGAATTCTTTCTTGTGCAAGATCCAAGAACCGTCCTTTGGGGTCTGGATGAGGACCCCTTTCCAGTAACACTTGGGCAATGGCAGATGAAAGGAGAAGAGGCCACAGACAGAGGTCTGGAAAAGACGCACGCAACGACATGCAAGGTGTTTTTTCTATTAAGTCATCACTGAACAAATTCCAAGGAGAAAAAGGTAAAATGGATGCAGGAGGATTAGAATGAAGCACTACTGCTTGTAAAACAAATCAAAACTAAGAACCTAGGAAACGATAATAATGCTGTTTAAAGACTTGAAGGAAATCTCTATTTCCAACAACGTCAACAGAAATCAAAGGAGAATATATTTCACTTTTCAAGAGTGAAAGATAATAAAAGTCAAACCCTATACAACATCAATCCTGAGCCAAATCCTATCTTATCTCTACTTTTTTCTTCTCCTTTTCAACGTGTGTAGCTAAACCAGGTTGCAATCTAGAGCTGGACTCGTCCAGAAAGCCTGGCAAACATCCACAGCTGTGACAAGATGCTGACGAGCCTGTTGCAGTGGGGTCTTGATGCTTCCACTGGGGAGGAATCAGGAGAATGTAAGTAAAAAGCAATGAAACTTCTGCAAATAATTAAGTAATTCACATCCACCCCTTGAAGAGAAAATAATTCCTCCCTTGTCACTGTGACAGCCTCGGCTGGCTGCCCAGCTGAGAACACCCAGCAAGCACCCTCTCAGCAAAGCCAGGTGGGGAGGGGAGAGGTCAGCCACTGCAGCCTGCAGGCTCTCTGACCATGGGCACCTCCACAGCAGACCCTCCCAGCCACCAAGGACATCTGGCCCAAACACAGCATGAAGCAGAAGTGGCTTCGGCCATATCCACCACCTCTGTGCAGGCTGTCACACAGAACCAACCCCACCCCAGCCTACGTGAAGCTCCATGCTGGAGCCCCAGAGCAGCGGGACAGATCACTGATTCCCTTCTATGAAGCATGTGTGCCTCCCTGCATCCACTCAGGCTCCAGTGAAAAGCACTATTTGGCTCCCCCAAAGCTTATTGGGTGCAGGCGGGGGTGGGAACAGTCCACACGCCTCAGCTCCACTCCCCAGGGAAATGAGTATGAAAACAGGAGCTCCAGCAGGAAAGAATCAGCCTTTTGGTTCAAGGAAACGGTCTCTTAGCTTCGGAATAGCCCACTGACTATGGAAAAATGCTCTCGCCCCCAACCACGCAGGGCCTGTGTGTCTGGCTTCGCTGTCCGTGAGGTGAAAGCATCCGTGAAGCAGAGTCCCGGCTGAACTGCGGGAAAAGCAAAATGCACAGACGGCCGGCTCTTCGGTCTGAGGGTGATTTCAACCTGTTCTTGTTGAATGACCTTGGACCAGATAAATGCCATTGAGCTTCCCGTACAATGGCACTAGCAGCAACCTCTTCCCACTCGCCTCTCTCCAAGTCCCTGTGAAGCTACAAACAAGCGGTGTTTGGAAAATTCTAATAATAGCATCAAAGCGGAACGTTGCCCCCGTTATTTCTGAAGTCCTCTCTCAGACCCAGCGCTCCTGAAGGGGCGCGGCAGAGCAGAGCCGCTGCGGAGTGTGTGATCTGAAGACAACGCCTCCCTCATTAGGGCTGGACATATTCCGACAGGGCAGGCTGTGGCTCTGGATGGGGGGCAGTGAGGGGGTGCATGCATGTGCTGGAACTCACATCCGGGAGAGAAAGCGCGGCAGACAGGCCTCACGAATGAATGTGTGTTTTGAAACATTAGGTTCGATGTCTAAAGAGTACAATTCAACAACTCAGGCCACCAGGAACAGGCCCCACTCTCTCCTGGAGCTCTATGGCAGGGTTATCAGAGGATGGCTGGTGCCAGACATGTGCTGACAGGGATCTGGGACAGTCAGACCAGAAGCAAATGATCAGGCGCGACCCAATCAACGTGGCACTAAAACAATGCGTGCAGGTTCGATCATAGTTACCTGACCCACCCCCAGAAGAGTGAAAACCTAAATTTCCTCTGCTCTGTCACCCTCCAACTCCTGAGAAGATGGGAAGGAGGTGACGCTGACTAAGTGCCTCCTCTATACCCAGGAAACTCTGCTAGGGCTTACACATGCAGCTCATTCAATTCTCCTGACAACGCTCCAGAATATATCCTTTTATCCTCACTTTACAGAAGAGAAAACTAAGGATCAGAAAGAGAGCACTTGGCCAGGTACAGCAGCTCACGCCTGTAATCCTAACACTTTGGGAGGCGGAGGTGGGGAGCTCGCCTGAGACCAGGAGTTCAGGACCAGCCTGGGCAACACAGTGAGACCCCCATCTATAAAAAAAAAAAAAATGAAAAAGTTAGCCAGGCGTGGTGGTGCACACCTGTAGTCCCAGCTACTTAGGAGGGTGAAGCAAGAGGATTGCTTGAACCCAGGAGGTCGAGGCTGCCACACCACTGCACTCCAGCCTGGGTGACACAGGGAGACTGTGTCTCAAGGAAAGGGAAAGGGAAAGAGCATTCATCTGAGATCCCTCAAGTGATAAATGGCAGAGACTGAATTCAAATCCAGAGCCGAGCCTGCCAGACTGCAAAGGGCCCCCCACACTCAGCTCCACAAGGGAGCAGGAAGATGTGCATGTCATTAAGATCATTTTGTGCCTCCACCTCCCCGCCGTGTGATTTCCACACAGAAACCTGATTCGGATGGCTTCTGTGGCTCATGCCTGACAATTCACCGAAAGAAAAGTAAAAAGCACCTCAGATGAATTCAGAGTTTCTCTGTTAGCACAACGGAAATGAGATGAAGAAAGCTGGAAAATGGTTTCTCTTCTGAAACATGCATCGCAAAGTAGAATTACAAAGAGAAAATAGAGCCACAGGAATCGGCCCAAAATGAAGATTCTGTATCATTAGAGAATAAAATATGGGTATCCATGACTGTCTTCCTCTACACCCCTCGCATCCCCACCCCCGAGTCTAGGACACTGTCTCTACCATTTCTCACCCCCCATGAGAGTCAGGACCAAACACCAATTCCAGGATGCATGGCTTTTCCTGTTCCGACATCTCTGAAATGGGGAATGCATCTTAAAATTGACAAAATGATGGTGCATCTTACAACCCTTAGCACCTAAAGGCTCAAATTAATACATTAATATTGCTTTGAAATTATGTGAGGGCAATGCTTTAGATGATTTGAAACACTCTCAGATACTTCCTCTCATTTAAGCCTCACAACAGGCAGGCCAAATAGGTTTTTAGTTCACACTGATCATACTTAAATACAGCGGAGAAACTGGCTGACACAGACAACTCAGTGATTTGTCTAAGCAAGTGGTAGCACCAAGACTGGCCTTGGATTTTCTGAGCACTGGGTCCACGGGGAGGAATCCAATACTGAAGTGCAGATGACACGGGAGAGATGCTGGTGGGCTTGCCCCGATACCTCACCTGCTCGCTGCTGTATCACCCCACGCCCAGCTCCTCTCAGTCACACAGCCAAGCAGGCGAAGAGTACAACTGTGAAATGTCTCATGAGCTGATACAGAAGGAGTTTATAAATATTGAGCACTACTGGCCTTAAAAAAAGCTGCTCCTCTCCACCAGGTCTGGGTTGGATACCCTCCTCCTGGGCCCAACCCAGAATGAGGGGAGGTTTGAGAGGGATACACCACAGATAGATAGATACAGCTTCTCTGAAACCAAAGAAATAACAAATGGTTGTCTCACCTGAACAACTGGTTAGGAATTGGGGGAAGGGGATAAAACCAACTTAGAGCTGCACTTCTCAAAAATACCAAATAGGCCAGGTGCAGTGGCTCACACCTGTAATCCCAGCACTTTGGGAGGCCAAGGCGGGCGGATCATGAGGTCAGGAGATTGAGACCACCCTGGCTAACGTGGTGAAACCCCGTCTCTACTAAAAATACAAAAATTAGCTGGGCATGGTGGCATGAGCCTGTAGTCCCAGCTATTCGGGAGGCTGAGGCAGGAGAATGGCGTGAACCCGGGAGGCAGAGCTTGCAGTGAGCTGAGATTGCGCCACTGCATTCCAGCCTGGTGACAGAGTGAGACTCTGCCAAAAAAAAAAAAAAAAACAGATTCAGGTGGATGAAGAGTTAAATATCAAAATCAAGCAAACCAACCAAGTATCAGAGTAATATGTAATTAAGTATTACTTACCTGATCTCTGGTTGAGACAAGCATTTCTAAGCTTAAAAGAAATGGAGGAAACCAGAAAGCAAAAGGATGAGAATTTAACTACATAAAGTTAAGTCTCCTCTCTATTTAAAAAAAAGGAAAAGTGTGGGGAAAATATTACCTAAAAATAGACAAAGGGTTGCAATTTGTAATATTTATTAAACAGCTAACACAAAGTATGAGAAAAGCAGGCTACGGGATCAGGTAACACATGAGACACTTTTCAGTTCAAGGGAACTAAAGAAATCAAAATTAAGGCCAGGTGTGGCGCTAATGCCTGTAATCCCAGCACTTTAGGAGGCCAAGACAGGCGGATCACCTGAGGTCAGGAGTTCGAGACCAGCCTGGCCAACATGGAGAAACCTCATCTCTACCAAAAACACAAAAAATTAGCTGGGCGCGGTGGCGGGCGCCTATAATCCCAGCTAATCTGGAGGCTGAGGCAGGAGAATTGCTTGAACCCGGGAGGTGGAGGTTGCAGTGAGCTGAGATCATGCCACTGCACTCCAGCCTCCAGCCTGGTCGACAGAGTGAGACTCTGTCTCAAAAAAAAAAAAAAAGAAAAAAGAAATCGAAACAGAAACGTCAACTACCACCTAGGCAATAAACAAAGATTTTATTTGCAAATATTAACGATGTGGCAAAGGTACAAAAGAGTCTTCTGGTCTGAGTGTAAACTTGTACAACCTTTCTGGAAAAGAGCTGAGAACATCTATCAAAAGCCTTAAAAATGTTCAAACTCTCTGACCCGGTAATTCCACTTTTAGAAATCTATTCCAAGGACATAGTAAAGAATGTATTGCAAAGGTTTACATAAAAAGGTTCATCATAAGTTACAAAACCAAACTAGCTAGGTAGATTGGACATATCCATACAATGTTAATAAAAGCTTTTTAGATCATGTAAAAATACAATATAGTGTTAAAACTTTCAAGGCAGGGAAAAAAACCAAACTGCAACACATTGTTACCACGAGTATATTAAAAAACCAAACAGAATAAAGCCTAGAAGGCACCGTGGTGGGGATGCTTACGCGGCATGAATTATGTGTTCCTTCTTCCTGCTTCCTTATGCTAGGCTGTATTTTTATAATTAATATGCATCAGTTCTATAATAGGGTGGAGGATGACAGAGGAAGAATGTTACCCTCTCATCCCACGCTCAAGAAACACAATTCCAGGGCAAAAGGAACACAGCACAATAGACACTCGGATATTCTTACAGGAATTCAGAAAGAAGAGAAACAACTAATATAGCAGTCCTTTATTTTGCAACAAAATAGTCACATTTTTTTAAATGGCTGTTTTAATTCTTTCAACCACTGGTTTGTACCTGCTTCAAGAAATGCACAGATCACCTTTTCCATTTATGTACCACTATCTTCCACCTCTTCCCAAGCAAGTTCCAAGACAGTCTGCATGTCACCTCTCTAGTACAGTCCCTTCCTCATGGCTCCCAATCTCACATTCTCAGCAAGGCCTGGCCCTGCAGGAAAACCAAAGGAAGAGACAGACCCAACTAGAGGGGGTGCAGGACTCAGCCTCTGCGGGCTTTCACAGGGTTCAAGGAGCTGTGATGGAAGGCAGCCTCATCCCACTGTGACGCTCCCAGTATCAGCTGGAGAGATGGCCACCAAGCCCCTGGACAGAAAAGGAGTCTGGTGTGTTCTTCCCTTAGGAAATCTGGGTGATTTAACAGTTCTCAGGCTGGACGTCCTGGTCTCCCCTACCCCTATCTATTTCGGGGCAGTGAAAACCAAATCAGAAGAGAGTTACTCCCAGGACCCTGTTGCTGACCGCCACAGTTACTACTGTTACTGCTACTTGAGACCGTCATTACGAGACTGATTGAAGGGATGAATGTAGAAATAACAAAAAACAAAAGTAACTATTTTAAGGGAAGGCTAGCATGGGGAAGAAGAGAGAAGAAGAAGAGGAAAAAGGCACCCTGCTTCTAGTGAGCAAAGGCAGCCCCCCTAAGCTTCTACAGCCCTTCCTATTTATTGGGTAACAAGAGCAGGAAGGAGGTAACGATTGGTCAGCTGCTTAATTGATCACAGGTTCATACTGTTACTAACAGGCTTCAATGATGCCTAATCATAAGAAACACTTGCGTCTGGGTCATAACTGCCCTCAGCATCACTTCTGGGTGGCAGACGCAGTTTGTCAGTTTGCCAACATTCTGCATTTATGAGAAACAGTTCGCTGCTTACTTACATAGCCTCCAGTGGTATACTGAGTTGATCACGACCCTCACTCTTCGGCCTCCAACAGGACCCCATACCTGGACCAGCCAAGCCCCTGCCTTATCTCTCCAGGGCTTGTTACCAAACCGAACTTCGGTCTACTTGGCTGGTGCAGCGGAGCTAAACGCTGACATCAGGATAGCAGCGAGACAGTGCGAGGTTTAAATTGCAGGGTGCCAAGCAAGGAGAATTGGGTGGCTAGTGCTTAAGACCTAACTCCCAGATGGCTTACAGGTAAGGGTTTTTAAAGGCGGGGAGGCAGAGGTTACAGGCA
Source organism: Homo sapiens (assembly GCF_000001405.40). Lineage (NCBI taxonomy): Eukaryota > Metazoa > Chordata > Mammalia > Primates > Hominidae > Homo > Homo sapiens. The sequence continues at coordinate 230,131,490 of NC_000001.11, read as the reverse complement.
AAGTCATAAATCAATACATGAAAGCTCTGCATGGGATTGACCTAGAAAGGTGGGATGTCTCAAAGCAGGGCCCACAGGTCAAAGGTGGATTCAAAGGTTTTTTGATTTGCTATTGGTTAAGGAAGCAAAGCTTTGTCTAGGAATTTGGGATCAGCAGAAATGAATGTTAGCATCTGGCCTGTGGAAGTGTCTTCCTCCAGGCCTCTCAGAAAGAAATTAAAACTGGCGGTCAGAGTTGTGTCCTCAGTTTTCTGTTACCCGAGGTCTATGTGCTGCAGACAGCATTTATTATTTGGTGGGGGTCCAGGTTTCTAAAAAACGACTCAGGGACATATGTTAAGGTATTTAATTTTTATAAAAAAAAAACAAACGTTTTGTGCCTAGCTTTTTAGATACTGTTTTAAGCTATCTTGTTTATTAGGTTGTTGATTTCTTTCTCAAGGCTAGCGAGATGCCTAGTTTTTTTAATACTTAAATTTTTAAAATTTTTATGTTGGAGGGTGCCTGACAGGCTCCTAAGAGGGGTTCCTACCCTGTCTCAGGCTCAGCCTCCACCTTTCTGCTCCCATGAGACGCAGGGCAGTCACGGGTGTGGGCCAGCCCTCCCAGTGCTTTCCCATTTAAGCCCCCACCCGCCCACTCAGCTTTCATCCCGACCCAGTTTGCAGCTTCGCTGGTGTCCCATAAACTCATTAAAGTGGTTTAGCCATGGTCAGCCAAGCTTGACTGAACATACAGGAGCTGTCGCCGAGACTTCCAAACCTGCTGGAGTGTAAATTCCAGACTCTTGATCAGCAGAAATCCCACTTTGGGCACAGCCGGGCAGCAGCTCCGGGCTGCTTGTCCTTCTGCTCCTGCATGGGAGCATCCTACTTAGGGGAGACACAGGGGTCGGTCCCCAGGGCCCGGTGTTCCTGATACCACGTGACTCACGCTGGCTGACTCCCTAGTAAACCCCAAACTGCCTCTGTATCAAACTGGTGTTCCTTGAAGCACCTCATCCAACAGTGGGGGTAAACACCAGGCTCCCAAACCCTTCACAACCGGCTGAGCACAGGGAGTCCTTAACATCAGCCAGTGCCCAGCAGTGTCCAGAAACGAGCATCTAGTGAGTGCTTTCTAAGTGCCAGACCCCATGCTAAGTGCTTCTCCCAAGCCACTCGGTGGCTATTATGAGCTAAGGTATCATGAGGCCTGGCTGCGGCAGCGCTGTGGGTAGGTGAAGAAATCCCTCAAAATCTTATCATGTGAGGCAATTAGAGAGGTTTAGCTTACAGAAGAAAGATATGGATGGTAGTAGAAGGCGGGATGAGAAAGGTCTTCAAATAGCAGAGAGATTTTCATGTGCAAGAGGTATTAGGACTACAAAGTTCCACAGTGATGGGCATCAGCTCACTCAAAGCTTCAGAGACAAGAGAGGACTGCAGGGATGGTAGACTTGGGCTCCACGTTCTACAAGTAAGAACATGGAGGTCATGCAGATCTCAAGGCAGTAATCCTGCAATTGTGCCCGTTCAGCGTACTTCAGCAGACGGGTGATGCCTGTCCACAGGAAGCTGCAGAAGCAATGCCTGCTCTGCGGAGCCAGGAGCTTGGCCTGGGGACAACCTGTGGTCCTTTCAGATCCAATGCACTGATGCTGAGTGACTAACAGAACTCAGCAGCCTTTTCAGTGTCAGGTCAACCAGTCACAGCAGAAGGACACTCGGCCAACCCCCAGCAGCATGCAGAATACCCATGAACAAACCTGCACATGCACCCTGAGTCTAAAACGAAAGCTGAACTTTTATTTTTAAGTGACAGAATTTTGGGGGGAAAAAAAGTAAGGACCCTTGGGTGTATTGTTTCCTCTTGAAAGAGTTAAATTTGTGAGCCAGGTGCAGTGGTTCACTTCTATAACACCAGGACTTTGGTAGGCCGAGAGGGGAAGATCACTTGAGGTCAGAAGCTCAAGACCAGCCTGGGCAATACAGCAAGACCCCATCTTTACAAAAAAAATTAAAAAGTTAGCCAGACATGGTGGCAAACACCTATAGTCACAGCTACTTAGGAGGCTGAGGAGGGAGGATCACTTGAGCCCAGGAGTTTGAAGCCTCAGGGTGCTACGATCACGCCTCTGCATTCTAGCCTGGGTGACAGAGCAAGATCTCATCTCTAAAAAATAAAATAGTAAGAGTTAAATTTGTGGATTTTCTACCCCACTAACAAACAGGTTATAGGACAGGAAAGAAAAAAGTCTAAAGAAACAGAAAAATTCGCAGCATATCTGCAGTCAGAATTTGGCTTTGAATCCTGGCAACACAATCTATTTTGAGCAAGAGACAAGTTTTGCTAATTCCTAATGAGCCAGATTAGAAACAGACTACAAACGAACAGCAAACTCATCATAAAATTATGAGAGAGCCCGAAATACACCGAATGACTGATGCGTCGCTAGCGGCGGCATTTGGCCACTGAGTAAAAGCAGGGTGTGTGCTTCACAAGTGTCGCGGGGGCTTCAGGAAGAAGGAGCTGGTGGAAGTATTGCTGATAATCCAGAAAATCCTCTCCACTGACTCAAACATCCACAAAGTGCCAGGCTGAGCTGCTCTCAACAGTGCTGAGGCATGAGATGTCCCCGAACCAGAAAGCGCAGGTGCCCTGGATGGGGCTCGGGGCACCCCACATATAGGAAGATGGGGGCTTAGGAAGGCTGTCCTGAGCTGATGCTCTGGCAGAAAGAGGAACTTCCAAGAGAAGAGGAGACTGGAGCAAGGAAGGCCCTGAAGACAGATGCCTCCCAGCCAACACTCAGGCTCTTGTGACACTCAGGAGAGACTAGCTTGGGGGAAAAAAGGAAAGCCTACCTCCCCCCAACCACCCCCGCCCCCGCCACACACACACCCTTATGAAAGTCCCTTCTCTAAGATCATTCCTGTTTTACTTTCTCCCTTACCTCCCTATCCAAAAGCCAGCAACTCCAGAGGCAACCCAGAAGCCAGTGGCTCCATCCCTGGTGCACAAGACCCAAGTGGCCCACTGAATTTAATAAGCAGCCATGCAGACGCTGGGCTCTGTGGCCTCCACAGAACAGAGCTTCGGGGAAGAGGCAGAGCCCCCCAAAACTCCAAGTGGCTGACGGCTTCAGGGCCACAAAATCCATATAACATCGGAGAACACACGCCTGCCCTTGTACACACCACGACAAGCGAAGGTCCTGTTTTCCTTCATAACCACACACACACACACACACATTCTCCAGCGCACTTGCATTTAGAAGTACCTGCACATGGTGAGTGCGATGTGACAGAGAGGCTATGCTATAGGACAGATGGCCCCAGATGGCCAGAAGAGTACTAAGAGGCCTTCTGGGGGCCTGACCATCCCTGGCCTCATGGGTATTGGTAAGGATTCAGACACCCTTCCTGCAGCCACCCAGCTGGTGATGAGAAACTCTAGAGAAGGAAAGAAAAGCTGCATTTGGGACAAATCATCCCATTCAGTCTGTGCCTGCATCCCCCACACAGCCCTTGGGGGCCGCTGGGATAGATGGCTCCTCAGAGGGCACCAAGGGCCACAGCGGCTGGCTTCACAGGGAGGACTGAGGGGAGGTTCCGTCTTGGCCTGTAAGACATCCCATCTTACATGCCACGTCAGCAATACCGTGGTAATGAGGAATGAGTTACAGTGCAACAATTCACACCTCAAAAGAGTTCACGCACCCAGGAGTGTTCTGATGAACTGAGCACGGGAGCGTATCACTGAGGAGGATTACAGCAACCACCACCGCGAGGGGCTCACATAGATCCAGCTCTTTAAAATTAAAAAAAAAAACCCTCGGCCGGCACAGTGGCTCACATCTGTAATCCCAACATTTTGGGAGGCCGAGGTGGGTGGATCACGAGGTCAAGAGATCGAAACCATCCTGGCTAACATGGTGAAACCCTGCCTCTACGAAAAATACAAAAATTAGCTGCGCATGGTGCCGCATGCCTGTAGTCCCAGCTGCTTGGGAGGCTGAGGCAGGAGAATCACTTGAACCCAGGAGGCGGAGGTTGCAGTGAGGCAAGATTGCGCCACTGCACTCCTGCCTGGTGAGAGTGCGATACTCCAACTCAAAAAAAAAAATCTATTCATAATGAATTTGAAATCAAACTACACTATTAAGAGAGTCTTCCACAGGGATGAAGGGGGAGGTGTCAGTTTATCACACAGCACCAGCTCAGGCGGGGCTCACAGCATTAAGAGAGTCTTCCACAGAGAAGAAGGGGGAGGTGTCAGTTTATCACACAGCACCAGCGCAGGCGGGGCTCACAGCAGGATTTAGGGTTGCTGCAAAGTCACTGTTTCCGAGTAAAGTAGGGTGTGTGGGTCACATGCCCCTGCCTCAGGCAGCAATGGGAGGGGGGGACGTTTGTTTAATGGGTTTTCCCCAGGTGCTAAAAGCAGTGCAAAATATTAACATCTATCCAAAAAAGAGGGGAGACGCTCCCCCCACCTCCATTCACCCACTACCAGGAAGAGGAAACCGCCAGACTGAGCAATTAGGTTGCAATTTTACAGGAATGGTTTAGGTCTGAAAACAAATGTCAGCCCCATAAATCCTTTTCTCCTCACTCCAAATCCTGAAGGGGACTATCGTCCTGGCCACTGCTGAACCTGCGCTGGGTGCAGTCACTCCTTGGCGTGCCTCAGTCTCTCCTCAGCAAAGTGTGCACGTGGGGTTATACGGGCTGGAACACTCTTACCCACCAAAATCTATGACCTCCAATGAGAAACTCCCACCATCCCTTTGTACAACTTTAGATTTTGTCAACATTGACATTTCCCATAGATGCGATATTACAATCCCATGCACACACTTTTCCGAGGAGAGACTGAGGTACGTGAGTGAGGCTGCCTGCGGGAGGATGGCCTTCTGAACCACTCTCATTCCCGCTCATGTTTCTACCCGCGAGGCAGGATGGAGGCGGGGGCCTCTCTTCCCACACCCCAAACCCTCTCGAGGCATCGGCATCCGTTAGTCCTCAACTGCAACCCCCTTATGATATAAGACAAAGGTCACTCTGTTCCCTGGTCTCCAGGTCTCAAGAATCCAGGCTTGCAACCTTCCATCCCTCCCTCTCAGAGCACCCCAGCGGGCCCCAAAAAGTGCATGGCTGCCCTCTCTCAGCTATACTCATCACCAGGCCCTTTCCACATTCTGCAGAGGGGTGCCTGCCCCCGCCGAACTGGCCCTGCCTGTGTCTCCACTCTGGGTGTTCCTACAGCCCTCTCCTAGCACAGCAACCCCACACTCCTGCTCTGGGAAGTTCCCATCACCATCTCCACAGCTCTGCTGGGGTTGCCCCCACACCCCTGCCCCCACACACTCATCTAGGGAACCTCATCATTCTTCAAGTGTGGCTCAGGGTTTCTGTTCCAAAAGGCCTCCCTGCTCCTCGCTCCTCTTTGGCTGTAGCCCACACACCGTCCTCTGAACTCTGGCCTCCCCATGCTTGAAGGGTCACTACCTGTCTGTGTGCTGCCTCCACCCAACCTCTGAGCACTGGGTGGGGAGCCACCTTCCTTCGTATATTCACATGGAATGAAGAGAGGAAAAGAAAGACAGGAGAGAGACATTGAAACTCTGCCAATAATCCTTTCTAGGAGTGGCACACATTCCAATCCTGGAGAAATGATGACATGAGGCATGGCAAGAGAGTTTTAAGAGAGTTCAGCTTTTCACTTAAACAGAGTACTGGGATGTCACTGTTGGAAAGTGCTCACAATTTCTCATCTAAGCCGAAGTTGTCTGTTCTCCTTCCTACCTTAACAGTTTCTCACTGCCTGAAGGCAGCTGCCAAAACCCCTCTAAGCAAGCAGCACTCTTACCCACCAAAATCTATGACCTCTGATGAGAAACTCCCACTATCCCTTTGTACAACTTCAGATTTTGTCAGCATTATTGACGAAATCCCACAGATACGATATTACAAGATACAAAATTTAAGACACGATCTTGGCTGAAAGACTCACGATCCAAACGCAGTAAACCTTTCATCTCTCCTTATTCACTCTGCCTTTAATTTAAAATATGTGACGCTGTCAAACACCAGCCAGGCCTCGCTACACTCCTGAGGGAGGGGTCGCTAGGAAACTGCAGAATTTGAGAAACACAGGGACATTCTAACCAGCTATTCCTTCTTTCTCCCCACAGCCCCCTCCCTTCTCTGGCCTGTACAACTTCCTTAGTCCCATCTCTGTTACTCTGATTGTGGGAAAGGGATCCTGCACTCTAATTGTGTGATGGGTTATTGCATCTTCATTTATGAATTCTCTAATCTGGTATTCACTTTCAAACACTTGGCCCTCTTTGGCAGCCAACAATGCATAACCAGGCTTGGGAAGCCTTCACATTTGACAAGAATAGAGAACAACCGCTTAGCGGAGACCAGGTTACACGTCAAATGGACTCTTTCCAGCTTCATCAACAAATAAAGCAAAATCTGAGTGCAGGGCTGAGTGTAGGCTGTTTGGTGGAAGAGAACAACACTCTTGAAAACAGCCAGCGGTGCAGACACCAGGGTGTGCTCCTCCAGTGTTTGGAGGGCTGATTAGTGCACAGTAACCACAGGGCCACAATCCTGAGTTACTAACCACATAGCTGGGTTCTCAGAGAGAAAGACCACATTCCCAGACAGGCCACACCACCCTAGTCTGCCATGGGGGTAATGCAGGTGGGACCATCACGGCAGGTCCCACCCGTCCCCATGACTCCATTTTGGTTGCTGAATTCATGAGAAGGACTCAGGCCAAAAGAAGGTGGGAGGTTCCAAGACTGTGGCTTTTATTTCTCCAAGGATCTGCAAAACTTCAGATTGTTCAGGAACAGCAGGAAAATGTACTGCCTTGGTTCCAAATCACTCCAATGAGAAGTGCTGCCTGCCTCCTCCAAATACCTGGAGCCAGGGAATTACTCCCATTAGGCCCCACCATAGTTATTTCTGGACATGATGCAACCTGAGAGATTTTTTCATGCCACAGGTAGATTTAGGGAGAACTCAATTATATTTTCCTTGCTTTTTAGTAACATTAACACGCCACTGGTGACAAGGGGACATTCCAGCTTGCCACAAGTCCAGTACGACCACAGATCAGGTCAGAAGGGCTCTTGCGGGTGATAGACAGCTCTTGCAGCAATGTTTTGCAACACACCAGCACACAACATGCTTAAGAATTGGTGTCTCTCCCTCTGCTGTCTCCATGTCTACATCAAAATTAAAGAGAAGAAAATAATAAAATTAACCCCCAGAAAGTACCTATCAGTACTTGCACTTAATTCATTTCCACCTAAATCCAGGCCGGGTAATATTCTTGACATTGTATAGATCTAATGACAATGTCTTTACTTCTTTTTAAAGTTGAGCCAGGCACGTGACTGGTTTAAAGGCCACTTAGTCCAAAGGACAGGGAGTCATATCTTCAGGTCATCCTCACGTCACTATCCACATGCTTTCATTAAGTGGTCAAAGCTGTACGTTTGAAGCTACAGAGTTCACCAAATAAACAGAATGACTAAGAAACCAAAACCAGGTGTTTTCACATTTTTAGAGTCCCCTGACAGTGTGGTTCGGGGGTTTGGTTTCTGTATCACATCTGCTAAGTGTGCAGGTCATTTTCAAAACCACGCATGCTGAGAGACTAGCAAACAAAGGCAATGATCATGAGGTTAAAGTAGACAAAAGAAGGCAATTAAAACATTTCCACTACCCATCATATAGGAGAAGAACATAAGTACACCTGTTGCCTTCTAAATAAAATATATATTTTTCCTTTCCATAATCGTAGAAAGTAAAAAAGACTTAAGAAATGAAGTCAAGGTCTATTTCCACAAAGGCTCAAGCAAGACAATACCAAATGGGTACAAAATGAAAGACAACTGAAAATCAAAGGTGGAGTCGGCTCTCAGAGGTCTCCAAAGCTCGGTGTCTAAACTTAGCTGTGCGGGCAACAC